>NC_000013.11:92010554-92313585 GCF_000001405.40 Homo sapiens
AGACACTATTTTTGGGCAATAATTAAGGTTAAATGAGTTTATAAAAGTGAGGCTCTAATCCAATAGGACTGGTATCCTTATAAGAAGAGGAAGATACATCACAGCCCTCTCTCCCTTTCTCTGTCTCTCTCCACCCCCACTGCAAGGAAGAAAGGCCACAGCAAGAGAATGGTCATCTCTTGTTGTGTAAGGACACAGCAAGAAAGTAGGCATCTACAAGCCAGGAAGGGAGGCCACACGAGGCACCAACCATGATGGCACCTTAAACTTTCAGCTTTCGGAATTGTGATAAAATAAATTCCCATTGTGTAATCCACCCAGTGTGTGGTATTCTGTTATGGCAGCCTGAACAGACTAATACAAACTATAAGACAATATTTCTTAAATGATATTAGGAGCAAATATGCCAAAATGTTATAGATTTTCTGGAAGGAGGTACAGAGCTCTTTATTATATTTATCTTCAACAGTTTTGCATGTGTGTGAATATGTACCAACATGAAATACATTAAAAATACTCTTTCAATAGATGTAAATATAACTCTATATGTGTAGATAACTATATAGATAAGGAATACATTTTAAGCAAAGATTTTTCATTAGAAGACAGAATGTGCAAAATATTACATCGTGTCTAGAATATGATAGGATTCATTAAGGAGTAGTTCCTTTGTTCTCTTCTCCTTTCCATCCTCTATTTAATAGACGAATTGGTCCATAAGTATAAATATATACTAGTGTGTGATCATCATTTGTAGCTGTTAACATGCAAAAAATTTCAAAACAAAACATGCAATGTGTTATCCATGTGAAATATTAAACTTTCTTGGTCTGAAAAGTCAAAGTCACAGGACTACCCCTTCCTGATAAATATGATGGAACATAAATACTCTGTCATGTTTCCCAAGGAGATCTGAAATTTGCAAAATATTGAATTTTGATTTATATTTTTAAGCCTTGTAAGCTTGTGATTCATTAATAGCCATCTTAGTCCCAGATCTGCCTCTGGGCACTGATGATGCTGCCAGTGTGAGAGCAGCAGGAGATGATATAATAATGTGGCATCCTCTTATGGGGTATTACAGTGGAATTAGAAAACAGCTATTGAACTCAGTTTTGCAAGACTGTTCCTTATCTTAACATTTTCAAAGTCAATTAAACATTTAAAAATCATTTATATATAAAGTGCTAGTTTGGTATCTTCAGTGAATAAAGTAATAAAATGCTTATCAGTATATTACTATCTTTAATTAGTCTACTCGATTTTACAAATTGAGTGGACACTGACAAATTTAGAATCTGCACTACCACAATTAATTGCTGTAATGTTCACAGGTCAGTGCTCACATTGATAATGATTTTTAAAAGTCAGACTTACAGAAAAGAGTTTATTTCCAAAAGCCTAAATCTTCTGTTCTCAACCGGAATGGGGAAGGTTTGAGGAGATTCTATGAGGATAGCTGTGGAAGTGAGCCTGTCACAGTTGGGTAATTCAATGTAGAACTTCTAGAAAATAATAAGAGAGAATTTAATATTATATGAAGCTCTAATAATGTAGACCTGAGTTTAGTCAAATATATTTTATTAATGAAATTATGGTTTTATTTGTCTTATAAGGTCATTTCAGTAATATATTCCATTTTTCAACATCCTCATTTGGCATTGCTTTTTAATAGCTTGATTTGAAAACGATTTAATTTTTTTCATTTTCTTTTTGCCTTTTCTCTACCTATTTGCTATAAATACATAGGAACTTAAACTATCAAAACATGCTAATTGTATTAAATTATAAAATAAACACTTTTATAAAGGAAAACATTTTTATCTCCTCTTGTTACTTTTAACTTAATTGTTTATCATCCTGATTTTTTTAAAAAAGAATTTCTTCTTGCATATTTGGATGCCAGAGAAAATCACAAATAGTTGTAAAACAAAAGTCATTTGAATGAAAGAACATAGCACTTTTACTGATGGTTTGAGAAAGTTAAATAAGTACCACTTAATTGAAGTAAATTATAAATTTGAATCTTTAGTCATGCAATAGGTATTCATTTCTTTATTTTTTGTAGACATAAAGTTAAAAAATAAAAAGTTGGGGTTGTTTTGTCTGATACTGGATCACTGGATTCCAATCTATGAATTGGTCACAGAGTAATAATACTTATCATATGTTTCTACATAAATGCTATCTAAGTTTACATTTTATTATAAAATAACTTTAAAATAAGAATTAAGAATTACTGATGCTGGATTTCTCTTGGCCCCTTTGTCAGACTCGTGATGGGGGTGAACATTTACTCAACCTGCTGTGCTCACCTCTTGTGGGAGGGAGCATGCATGTGAGTGAGTGCAGGACTCACAGCCAGACCAGGCACAAGTGAGTGCATGTGGGACCTGGCCAGCAAGCTCTGTGTGGGGCCCACACCCAGACCAGGTTGTGGGGGCCTGTGACCCCGAAGCCCCAGAGGGCATGTCACATGCTGTCTTAGCTCTTCCATCTGCAGACAGCTGTGTGTTATCAGCTCAGTTGGCCCCTTGCCTCGTTGCATGTGGCAGCTGCCCTCTGCCAGCAAGAGCAAAGGGCCAGTGGTGACAGCCTTTTTTGGATACCTGCAATTGGTGGCTCCCAAACTCTTGTCCAGCATCCAAAAAGAATGAGGTTGATCAATTGGACACTTGAAGGATGGTAAAGGCAGAGAATTTTATTTAGCAATGGAAATGGCTCTCAGCAGAGAGGGGAGCTGGAGAGGGGATGGGATGGGCAGGTAATCTTCTCCTGAAGTTCAGCTGGTTCTTTTCTAAAGTCAAGCCACCTCTCCTGAGAAGTCTAGCTGTCTTTCTGAAGTCAAGTTGCCTCTCTCCAGTCAAGCTGCTTCTCTCTCCTCTTCTGACTGAGTCTGGGGTCTTTATAGGCACAGGATGGGGTAGGTGGGGTTGGCCATTGGTAGTTTTGCAAAAGGCAACATTTGATTGGCAAAAAGGCATTATTCAAAAGGAACCAATTGGGAGAGAGCGAGCAAACAGGAATAGACATTCTCGCTTTGGGCCATGGGTTTCAGGCTACTTTGGCTTAAAGGTGGGTTTCACCAGGGACCTGCCCCTGTCTGCCTTAAATTTCTCTGCCTCCTGCCTCTATCATTACTTGTGTTAAATTCCCTTTTTCCCAGCAATAACGTACCCAACTTGATAGATTCCAAGCCATATAATTTTTAAATTTTTATTCAAATATTTATCTGATTTTAACTTTAACATGAAAAATTTTTATTATATTGCAATTATTCTTCATAAGTTCAGAAAAACCTATAAATTGTCATATAAAGCTTCATAAATCAAAATTAAAACATGATATATGTATTTATTATTTCCCAAAACAGATATTGCCACCTTTTGCCATCAATTTAAGTAAGAGATCATAGATATAGTGAAATCATGTTTCTGTAATAATCATGTTTATTTTTCAAGATTCATCCAAAAAATTGAGACTTCTAGGATAATTAGGCTTTAAATGCATTTGCATACTTTAATCATTTTTATAAATAGTAGATTCCAAGTGCCATGAGAACAGAACATTTTCTGACTTGCCTTTATCTACTTAGCTCCTAGTACAGTAACTGACACTTATGGAGTGCTCATTATGCATAAGCCCATGATGTAATGCTGACTATAGATACAAAAGTCAAAATTTAAGAGGGCAGAATAATCACCATGAAAAAATCTGTTTTTCTTGCTTGATATGCTGATGTTTTCAGGTAATTCTGATGCTCTAACTTGAATGGCTGAATTGGCTGGGCTTTCATTGTGTTTCTTTTGGTGATCGTAATTCTTCAGCCTGCCCACGTTGTTGTTGGTGTTTATGTTAGCCCCAACACCAAATAGTATCCTCCTTACAATGTGAAAGGAATTTCTGGTATAATTCAGAAAAACATAAGGGCAAGCTTTGACAATGAACCTTTAATCAAATATATTATTTTACTTCCATATCTCTAATGGAATCTATTGCTTGAGATTTGAAGGGTTTTCTTTTTTTGGTGTTTAATATGTTCCTAATCCATTCTGGAGACTCTAATGTTACCATATTAATTTTCTAGAGTGTGTTACAATATTTTACAATATGAACATGCAAATAACTTTTCATGTTGACCATGAACAAGTGACTTATTCTAGTATAATATATACATTATTGACTCAATTTGTTGGTGATATCTTGAATATTTTCTTTTCCTGAGGTCATCTATAATATACTTACACTGTTGTATTAAATAATGCACTCAGATCTATGCATTAGAAAGATGATTCTAAATTGGGCAAAAAGAGTGTGCTTAGAAACTGAATAGTCTTAGCAAATATGGGAGTGCCTTGATTCTTAGAAATGGAAGAGTTTGGGTGGCTGATTTGAGTGATGAAGTTGATGTGTATATTTGGGCAAGGGATCTAGTGTCAGTCACAGGGAGGTTCCTTATTCTTCTCACCTTGGAGCCCCTGAGATGCATCTAGTAAGTACCTTAAACCAGTGATTCTGAACTTGGTAAAAACTGTGCCCCACAAGCAAATACTTTTCAAAGTCTAGAGACATTTTTGGTTGTTTCCTCGGGGAAAGGGTTGGTATTGATATCCAGCAGTAGAGGCCAAGGATATGTTAAATATCTTACAATACCCAGGACAGATCAGCACAACAAAGAATTAGCCAAAAATATCAGTAGTGACGGATGCTATTTAGAAACCCTGTCTTAGATTGAGAAAACACTGAACACCAGTGATATGGTTCTAACTGTCTAAGGAAATAACCCTTTTTCTATAAAATCCCCTTTTATAGTTACACATTTTAGAGGACCATTTTACTCACTAAATATATTTATTGTGGTCAAATGAAACATGCTACTGCATATCTTCCACCCAGGTCCCTCTTCTCCTACAAAAGGAAAACTACATAAAAGTAAGTAAATTGAAAAGCAAATGGGCATATTGTAGATACATTTTTATCTACACTACCTAGTGTTTACTGTTTTTATTTGTTATTGAGAGGTAGTAAAACTCAAAGAGATCAAGTTATCTCCCGTAAGTCACAAATTAGTAGAATTCAAACTAAGAGCTTATATTTTGTGCCTAGTAAGCTTTTTAATTCTGTAGGTGGAATAACTTTTTCATGTGACAGATTTTCAGGTGCTTAATTTTTTTCAATCTCCATCTATCCCACACATCTTTTACAAACTATTTCAGATTCAGTTATGTATATATAGCAATTATTGTTGCAACAAATGCCAAGCAGATAAATGAATGAATAGAATTATTTTGGGAGTTGAAATATACCTCACTGAACATCTCTTTTATTTACTTTTAAATGCTTACACAAAAAATAGCTTATATATTGTCCATACAACAATCTACTCTACTGCTTCTGGATGATGGGTGCATTTCTTCATGCAGTAATTCTGCAGTGCAGGGAAATAAGTGGAAAAGGCACAATCACTTCTGAAGTTTTTATTCTGATACACATCACTTCCATTTACCTCTGCAGTGGCAATAATTAGTACATGACCACATTTAGATAAGAATCGGGTCAAGAAAGTGGTTACTGGGAGAGCAGCTTGCACTTTTCAATGTCAAATGCACGCTATGGAACTTGAAGTACAGACTTTTGGTGGAAAGGGTAGCAGAGGAAAAAGAAAAAGAATTTATAATGAAATGTCTACCATTTCTTCAGTATTTCCAATATGTCAGACATAATGTTATACATGTTTTTCATATATTATTTATACATTGTTTTATGAAATGGGAATCGTTGTCTTTATTCTGCAGGAAACAAATTGGAAGCTTTTCGGAATGAATCATCTTATCTAAAGGCTCACAGCTACGTGACAGTAATGTTGAGATTTGCCATGTTCTAGTGACCCTGTAATTGTTATAAGCAAGAATTTAGGGTGGATGACCTATAATTCAACTTCTGATTCTAAATTTTATTTTCTTTCTTGTTTTTGATTTCATATGCTTGATTCTACACATATTTATGCACCTTTCTGTGCTTAATGTATTACTGCCAATACACGCCTAAGCTTTTAAATGGTGTGAATCAATATAGGCTCTTTGAATGTGGTTTCATATTTGAGTGTTATTTTGACAGCCATTTTAACTAAAATCCTGTAAAATAAAAATGTTTTCTCTTATTTTCTTTTCTTCTTTTTTTTTTTTTCTTTTGAGCCAGAGTTTTGCTCTGTCACCAAGGCTGGAGTGCAGTGGTGCGATCTTGGCTCACTGCAACCTCCGCCTTCTGGGTTCACTCAGTTCTCCTCTTCAGCCGAGTCTCCACTAATATCATCCTGCCTGGGAAGAGTAGGAATGCTTTGTTACTATTTCCCAATGGCCTCTACTGATATTATAGGGAGTACAGTGGCCTCATTACCTCTGGACAATGGTGAAAGTACTGTCTCCACTACATTTCTTTTGACAAGACTTTAGCAGAGAGGGGAACAATGGCCTGTCGATGCTGGGTGGTGTTGGGAATCTCTACACCAACCCATGAGGTATCCTTTTACACTGTGGTGGCGTGGTGGAGTTGGTGGTTGTGGTGTAGGGGCTCTTTACTCTCTAGCAGGAATAAAGGTTGGTTTTCCACCTAGCATCCTCGGACACCAAGAGTGCTGAGGCTGGTGGCTGAACCAACTCATTACAACCTGGTAAGAGTGGAGATCTAGGACTTCCACTGACTTTTCCTAGTGATATGTTATTGTTTAATATTTTCTGTTTTGGTAGGCTGATCCTTTTCTGGTTCTTAGGTAGAGAGAGCTGGCTCTTTTTTTCTGCCTGTACTCATTGGTCATCCCGGTTTTCTGGCTTTTCCAGCATTCAATCTGGGATAAGTGATGCAAAAACAAAACCCAAATAACTCACTGCCAAGTCATCCTTCATGCCACAGTGTCCTTTGGCAGGTTATCATTTCTTCAGACTTCAGGGTTGTCTTATGTTTGTTTTATACATAAAGTCCCCACCTTTCTGAGAGCTGGTCGGTCAACTCACATTTTTAAAGTTCCAAATAATATTATAAGATGTTGAACTTCTGTATTAAAAAGAAAATTCATATAAAAATATGATTCAGTGGATGGCATATAATCAGTGCACAGTGCCTTTTAGAAATCATAAGACCCATGTGTGTCTATACATGTGCACAAGTACACACACACATGCACAAGTACACACACACTTCCACAAAATAAACACACACGTGCATGAGTACACACACACGCATGAGTACACACACGCATGAGTACACACACGCATGAGCACACACATACACACTTCCACAAAATACACACATACGCGTGCATGAGTACCTACACTTCCACAAAATACACACGTACACGTGCATGAGTACATACACACTTCCACAAAATGCACACATACACATGCACGAGTACATACACGTGCAGCACGAGTACACACACACACACACGAGTACACACATACACATGCACGAGTACACACACACACAAGCTTCCACAAAACACCTGGGCCTTTAGTGGCTGAGGGCTTTTTAAAGAACTGGTATCTGGAGCAAATTCTCAGAATTGCCAAATTCATTGCTAATGAAATGCAACCCCGGTGCAACAGCTCTTTGAGAATTGCATAAATGCCTACCAAAGGTAGGCATTTATTTTTTACAATAAGTAAGTCTTTTTAAAATTGTTTCAGCATCCAATTAGTATATGCCTTGGATTCCATAATATCCTCAGATTATAAAATAGTAAAAAATATTTTTATATGTGTATGTTTAAAAAAAGGTTTCACCTAAAAAGTTTAGTTTAATGGCTTTATGTAGATATGAACAGAATTTTGGGGAGTTCGACTATATAAGGAAGAGGGAAATAAGAGGAAATCTAATATTATCCCATCTCCTAGGACAGAAACAAAACGTAACGTGCCTGTTTTTTATTCAATATTTGTGTTTGAATGGTACTTAAAAAAAGAAAAACAACACAGGATAACCAAATTCAAATATTTTATGCTTCTAATCATCCTCAATCTCTGGGGTGGTGGGGGAGCAGTTTATGTCATTATATATTTAAGTGAAGTTTAAGAAAAAAGCTCAAATTCTGAAGAATTCAAAAGATGTCATTAAAAATACGTAACTAGAAATCAAGATTTTCAAATTCTTCAGTATTTTTAATAGGTCCTTTTTTCTATGATATGGGTTTTTATAATTAGTTATAATCATAAATAATCACTAAGAATTCAGGATATTTTTCAATAGTATATGCCAATAAATATAAAAGTACATTTCTATAACAAAATCATTTTTATGAAAATAATTCCTTGTTTGAAACCCAACACAAAAACTAAAGGATGCAGAGCAAACTTTGATGCTTAAACTTAAAATCATGAATATGGTAGAAGGCACACTAACGGTTTCATTAGTATCTTCCTAAATATTGTTAGATTCTTTGGTACTTAATCAATAATAAAATATTGGTGTATGTTCGATATTGTTTCTACTGAAAGAGAATTAAGAAACACATTACATTGGAAACACATTAATTTTACTAAAATATACATATATGCTAATAAAATCAAGTGCCTTTTTAAGGATATGTGTTGTTATTTATTATTGCCTTATACTCTCCAATTAATATTTCCTTCAAGTTATTACATACACATACTCTCTCTCTATATATATTAAGCTCTATATATTATAGCTTAATATATAAGTATGCATAAGTATATAAGCATACTTATATCCATATTTCTGAACGTTTTACTATTATCTGTCTATAAATAAGTTCCAGAAATATTGGTCTTTAATATAGAAGACACAGCTTATGTACGTGATTGTAACAGATTATTGAATATTGCATAGGTGTATGTGAATGTGTGTGTGTATATAATTTGAAGGAAAATAATCCAAATCTTACTTCTTTTTTGCTACATCTTACATGACTACAAAATATGAACCTAAAGTAAGAGAACAAATTCATGCAGAATATAATATGAATCTCTGTTGCTCATGTTTCTCTGTGTCTAAGTGGTGATTCAGCTGTGAACAGGCTGGTCTAAAATGTCCACTAGAGACTTTCCAGTGTTAAAATGGAGAGCTAATTATATCACTATGATGCATGTTTCTGGCCAATAAAATGTTTTAGGTTTATGTGGGATCAATAATAACCAAAATAAATTTGTATAGATAAAAGAGATGGCATTTGGTGGGACATTCCTTGGACTCTAAACAAAAATGAAAGAATAGAACTGTACTTTTTCATTTTCTTTTGGCATTCACTTTATTTCATGTATAGTGGCTAATTTTGCTACTTTGAATAATTCATTAGTTTTCTATTTGGTGTGATAACAAATTGCCACTAACATGGTGGCTTAAAACAACAAATTATTATCTTATAATTCTGGAGATTGGAAGTTTGATATGAGTATCTCTGAGCTAAAATCAAGTTATTGGTAGGGCTATGTTTATTTCCAGAGGCTCTAGAGAAGAATTCATTTCTTTGCCTTTTCCATCTTCTAGAGACCACTCATATTCCTTGTCTCATAGTCTGCTTTCTTCATTTTCAAAACCAGCAACATTGCATTTCTCTGAGCCTTCTTTCATAGTCCTATTTCTTTCTTTGACTCTGCTCTGTCTCTCTTCTACTTTTAAGAAAGCTTGTAATTTCACCAGCTGTAAAATCCTATTTAATCTCCCTATTTTAAACTCAGCTGATTACCAAGCTTAATTCCATCTGCAACTTTTATCCTTAATCTACATAACCTACCACATTCACAGACCTGGGGATTAGGAAGGAGACATCTCTAGGAACCATTATTCTGCTTAATGCAAGGAATTTTTAAGTTTGTTGTTAAGAGACAAATTAATCTATAGCTGTTACACCAATTTACATTCTCACCAACAGTGTGCAACAGTTTCAGGCTTTCTACCTCCTCACCAACACTTGTCTATTTTTTTTTCATCATAGCCATCTAACAGGTGTGAAATGATATCTCATTGTGGTTTTTGGTTTCTCTGATGATTAGTGACACTGAGCATTCTATTCATATACCTGAGCATTCTATTTATATACCTGTTGGCCATTTGTATATTTTCTTTGGAGAAATGTGTGTTCAAATCCTTAGTCCAATTTTTTATTAGTTTATTCTTTTTTTTTTTTTTTACTATTATGAACTTCTCATAGAATTTGAAGATTAACTCCTTAACAAATATATGGCTTGCAAATATTGTCACCCATTCTGTAGATTGCCTTTTCACTCTGTTAATTGCTTCCTCTACTGTAAAGAAGATTTTTAATTTGTTACAATCCTACTTGTGTATTTTTGTTTCTGTTGCCTATGTTTTTGGTATCATATTCGTGAAATCATTGCCAAGACCGATGGCATGAAGATTTTCTCCTAGCAATTTTACAGTTTTAGGTCATACGTTTAAGTCTTTAATGCATTTTGAGTTGATTTTTGTGTACGCCATAAAATAAGGGTCTAATTTCATTCTTTTGCATGTTGGTATCCAGTTTTCAACACCATTTGTTGAAGAAACTATTTTCTCCTAAATTGTGTAAAACTACCATATGATCCAGAAATTCCACTTCTGAGGATTTATTCAACAGGATTTATTCAAAAGAATTGAAATTAGGATCTTGAAGAGATATTACCAGCATTGTTCATAATAGCTATGATTTGGAAACAAATAAATCCCCATCAACAGATGAACAGATAAAGAAAGTATGGTATATACATGAAATGGGATACTATTCAGCATTTAAAAAGGAAATTCTACAATACGTGACAGCATGGATGAGCCTAGAGGACATTATGCTAAATAATAGAAGCCAGTCACAGAAAGACAAATCCTGTGTGATTCCACTTATATGAGATATCTAAGTAGTCAAAAGCATGGGGTGAAAGAGTAGAATGATGATGGCCAGGCCAGGTGCAGGGAACTGGGAAGGTTCTAATCAGTGGGTATAAACTTTCAGTCAGGCAGGATGAATAAGCTCTACAGATTTGCTGTATAACATTGCACCTGTGGTCAACAATAATGCGTTGTCCACTTAAACTTTTGTTAAGAGGCTAGATCATATTAAGTGTTCTTTCCAAAATAAAATAAAAATCCTACTTACAGCTATTTTCATAAGAATATCAGTTATAATTCTACTTCTGTCAATAGCCTAACAATAGGCTTTATCCATTTATCTATCTGGGTTTTAATATTTATAGTATAGTTTGTATAAATCCATATAAACAGATCCAAAATGAGAAATGTTCATCTATGCCAATCCATTTAGAAATTTCAGATTTTCCCTTTCTCTTTTTAAGCTACATCCACCATTCCAATAATAATCATTTAGATTATTAGTCAAACTGTCCAGAATTCACTTTTAAGCACACGCAATTTTGCTATAGTGAGGAACATTGATTTATTTCAGAAAATTTTTGCTTGTTTTTTGTTATTTATTTTATTGTATTTATTTATTTTTTTCAGACAGAGTCTCGGTCTGTTGCCCAGGCTGGAGTGCAGTGGTATGATCTCGGTTCACTGCAACCACCGCCTCCCAGGTTCAAGTGATTCTCCAGCCTCAGCCTCCCGAGTAGCTGGATTTATAGGCACGTGCTACCACACCCAGCTAATTTTTGTATTTTTTAGTAGAGATGGGATTTTGCCATGTTGGCCAGGCTGGTCTCAAACTCCTGACCTCAAGTGATACACCCGCCTTGGCATCCCAAAGTGCTAGGATTACAGGGGTGAGCCACCGTGCCTGGCCCAGAAATCTTTTGATTGTATAGCAGTTGTGGGGGAGATTCTTGAAGCCGGTTTTAGTCTATAGGATTAGACTACTAAAAGTAAAAATAACATATGAATAGACTGGGAATAGTTTAAAAGGGTGAAGCCTAAACAGGTGTTGGCTTCCTTTGCTTGTAAGTACCTCAAAGACATAGACTGTCTTATTCATCTCTGTATGCCTGTGAAATTACATTGAGTCAGGTACATGGTGGATCTTAATAATTGTGTGTTTAATAAATAAAAGCATATATTAAAATATTTGAATACATTTTAATAAAAAATTAAATAATAAAATATTAGGACCTGTAGTTACTTTTAAAGGTAAAAGAGTGCTTAGGTTATATCTTTTAATATCTACTACTTTTACAACTAAAACTCCTAGAATTTTCAAAATCAGCCCCAAATATAAAATAACTTTAATCTGTAAGTGGGAGATAATCATTTTAATTGTTAGCATTCCTTTATAGAATGTTGTAAAATAACATCCTTGATATAAATAAGGGGAAATGAGGTCTTAAAAATAAGCGTATGATATTAAATAATAATTACTCAAATATTTGTTAATTATTAAACAAATTAAGAAAGAGGAATGCTCTGTTTCAATTAATTTTTAATTTAGTGCTTCTTTATACAGAGTATAACACTATATTTTCCTAAGATACTGTTCTGTGTGTTTATAGAATGTTAATATTACGATTAATAAAATATTTGACTCTGTTTCACTTACTTTAAACTCTCTCAGTGCCTATTATAATACCTAACAGCATCTCAGAAATGTTTTAGAATAAACAAAGTGATGACAGTGTTAAGTTTTCCAAGAAATTTTCATGTGTCTGCACATTACATGGATATATTTCTTTCTCAGTTTCCTCTATTTACTTGAGACTTCTAGTTAGGATCTGGTCAATTTTTTTTATATTGTCTCAAATCAAATTACATCATGAACAATTGGAAGACGTCATAAATCAAACAGAAGTTAAGCAAAAGGATCCTAAAAATAATTTTTCCAAGTAAAATTTTTATTTGTTCATACTACATGTACCTTTCCTCATCTGTCAAGAAAAATTAATGCTATATATACAAAATTGCTTAAAAAGTAATGGTCAAATTTGTGTTCACTAGGTGTATTAAGGAATATCATGGTTCATTAAATGAACTTGAACATTTTATACCAGAAATGAATAAAACTGTCATTTGCTGTTATTCTCAGCAAATGAGAAGTACTTACATTTTATTATGATTTTGGAGTTATTCAGCTAAGATTGAGATTCCATACTTGGTGTGTCTGTGATATTTTAATTGAAACTTAGATCTTTTTGTCCTTAAAAATCCTCCTTTGCTGAGGACACACACACACACACACACACACACACACTCTCTCTCTCTCTTATAAATTTATTTTAGTCAAGTTTATTTATCAATAGAAATATATTTTTGTATTGATCTATTTAGTATCCTCAAACCATTTTAGTCAGTCTTGGGAAATAACCTACATTTTACATGGAGCCTTTCAAAATTATTCCCAAGACTTGTTTACATAGAATTCACTCAATAAGTAGAATCAAGTCACTTATTGACAATAAGTTCCAGGTACTTTGTGAATTGTTTTAAAAATTAAGTTGATTTAATTCCCATAGACATCCTATGAGGTGACATTATTGTACCCATTTCACAAATGAAAAACATGGCTTAAGAAAGTGAAATGATTTACACAGGATTATATGTGTCTTAAACTGTAGGGCCAGAATTTAAGGCTATATTCTGAGGCCCAGGCCCATAAGCCTCAATTATGGTGCCTAATATATTAATGAATCAATATTTAATTTCAGAAAGAGGGCTATGCTTTCTTCTTTGATTTGGTTGCACAGTCCTGTGAATCCATCCATTTTCACTCATATTACCCCCTAGACATATTGTAGGAAACTTTTCTTTTTGTTTTATATATTTTCAGTTTTTAAACACTGTATTGGCACTGCTGTTCTGTTTGGATCCAGAAATCCATTAATGATTTCTAGTTCTCTAATCTGTGATAATTTACTGCCAATGGAAATACAGTTATTCATGGTTTCATTGCGGTCATTGTCCAGACCTCTCTCCCTCCATCTCTTAACACATCGGTGGTTCCCCACTTTCCCCTATTTCTTTCCTTTATAAAAGCTTTTTAACATATCAGCATGATCTGTAATAAACTTTCTTAACATGTAAAACTGTTTCTATTCTTATCTCACATTGTTTAAAATGTCAGCAGCATGCAATACTGTCATGACTCTCTCTCTGTTTTTAGAGTGGTATATTAAGATTCTTGCCTCAGGTAAAATGTTCCTCTTATTCTTACCTCCAAATAGATGTTTATCTACTTAAGTACTTTTGAGATGAAACTGTGGAGGCATATTTCAAATGACCAAACACATACTTATTGGTGCTTTTTATTCCCCTCTTACCTCAAAAGATTTAATCTGCTGTAATACACATAAATCATACATGTATTGCATTAGAAAAGAACCTAATACTTTTATATATTTTATGGCTATGGGTATAAAAATTATAATTGTGAACATTAGCATTTCATTTTCACAAAGCAGCTGCCAGTTTATGATCCCTTAGGATTTTATTAAATTTGTGAGTAGAGTTGAAAGTCATCATGCTTACTCAGATCTATTCCCTGTCATCATACATCAAAAACAGCCTTTCTAAAATGAAACCTTCAGTGGCAAAAGTATTTAGGAACTAATCTCTACCCTTTCTTCTGTTACTGTCTTCACTTACCATATTTTTGCCTCCCCCTTTCTTTTTGTTTCTTTTTTTCTTTAAGCCCCCTTTTGGCCAGAATATGCCAGAATATGGCTGCTTCACTCTATTCTTTATTGTTATATTTGATTTTAAGTAAATTCTAGTTAAGATTCTTAACAATTTATAGTTGGACAGCTTTTCCCAAGACTACACAGATCTCAAGAACAAAAGACAAAGATAAGGCTTTTAAAGTGATTCTTTTTTTCTCTTCTCTTCCACCCCTGATCTCTCCCCCAAAACACTTCTGTGTACACAGAGAAAGACTAAAAATTTCAGAAGGAGGAAAGGAACTGTCTAAAATTTAGTTTTCATTAGTTTTCTTCCCTTCACTTCCTCATGCCCAGCTGATGGAGAAAGTCCATCAGCTCATAAGCAGATAAGCGGACAAAGTAGTGAGAATTCCATGTCGGAAGTAGTCAGTGAAGCTGTTGCTGGGGTCTGGCTTGCTGCAGGTCATGTAGTGTAAACTATGAAATGAAAGTAAGGATCTCAAAGAATTGGCCCAACTGTGTCAGCACTTGCCAGTGCGTGTACAGAAAGAGGGATTTTGTACCCTTTTTGTCCATGAGACACTTCCATCGTCTTTGGTGTAGTATATGCATGTCCATTATAAGTCTTGGTTTTACTTATTATTGTAGATGATTATCTCTTTATATACAACCATAATTCAATATGATCCTTGATATTTCTGGTAATGCATAGCTAAATCATTCTTTTTAAAATTATCTGAGGCAGTGGTGTATACATACATTTTCATATGTAACAGAAAAATGCTGTAGTAAAGTCAGTTTTTGTGAATGTCTTGATTCTTGGGCTGTTTTGAATCAAAATTGGTGTGAAAAAATAATTTTAAGAAAACTATTGCAATAAAATACTGGATCCTGGACAGATCTGAATGATCTCTAATTATAAACAGTACTTCCACAGCACTTCCGAGCAGGAGTAGAATTGTAACAAAAATGATTGCTTTTAAGTAAAGACAAGGGGATCAAAGAACTAAGAATGTTTTTCCAGCATACCTGTCTTTCCTTCTTAAAGTGTTCTAAATCCTTGTTTTTCTAGAGAAGTGGTACATATTATTGTGGGAACAAAAATTTTATTCAGATATTTTATTCATAACATATGCAAATTATTAATAATGTATAGTTTCTTTACATAAATATTTCTATATTTTGCATATTTGATAATATATGTATTAGATTATAAATTCCTAAGTCCAAAACCAGACTGACTATTTTTTTAAAGTAAATTCTAAGCAAAACAGAGTTCTCAATACTTTTACTAAGGTAAACATAGACCCTACTTAAAGGTATCTTATGAAATAGGGATTTTTTTCTTTTTTCTTTTTTTTTTTTGTACTGAGCTAAGCAGCAGGCCAAGAAGATATTTAATTGAATCATTAATCATAGAACTTGCAGGATCTGAGTGACTACAGAGCCATGCAAATAATGAGGTCCAGCTACCTTATAAAAAATTATCCTATTTTATAATTGAATTATATTGATACTTTATTTTTCTTAAGCATACCTACTCCAGTGTTGCCAGTCATAAGATCTAGTGAGAATATGTTGTTAAAAAAGTCTTTGCTCTTATCAGGATTAATGAAAAATTATTATTGGTGAAAACTGATATTAGTTGGAAACACTGTATTGGTGGCTAGATATATATAGCTTACCACATTTTCGGAGGTGAAATAGGAAAACTAGCTCTGTGTCCATAACAAAGATTCCTTCTACCAACATGTTTCAAAACTATGAGTCTAAAAATTTCAGATGGCTAGGTGTCAAGTGATTTGTTTTGATTCCATGGGTATTTAGCAATTTTAACAGAATGTTCTAAGAATTTCATTTAAATATTTATTTGAGTGATCAGTGCATAGCCTGCCACTATCTTCACAGCTGGATGCAAGCATTGCAGTAACCTAAGCAAAATTGACTAGATTTTACAGTCACCAATGAATTAAATTGTAAAACAAGTCTTTGTTGAAATCATAAAAGATTCATGTGAAAATAATTGAGTCATATCTGGTGTTTTATCTCCAACATTAATAAGTACATATTTTCCTTTCAGGAGAAAGTTGAAATAAAGGAATTATAGAGCTATCAATGAAAGAAAATACTTTTGGTGGTTTTAATTTCCACATATGCTGATTTTTTAGCTAAAGGGAAAACTGCCTGTACATTGTACATTATGTTCTCACTTAACATTGTTGATAGGTTCTTGGAAACTGTGACTTTAAGCAAAGTGATGTAAAACAAAACCAATTTTTTTCTCATCAAAATTATAATGAAATGACAATATTGAAGGAAATTACAATATTTGAGGCCCTGCTGTACATTGTTTTGGTTAAAGTCACGGTTTTCAAGAAACTATTGACCTTAAGTGAGGACATTCTGTTCAGTGTTTGAAATGTACAAGGTGATTTCACAAGCATTTTATCGTATTATCTAACTTCATTTCCACAATGTCTCTGTAAGTCTCTGGGGTAGGGATTATTATAGCTATTTAACAGTTGAAAGGACTGAATCTGAATACCTTTAACTAATTTTGTTTTTAACCATCTCCCATGACTTCCCAGACTTTTTGAAGGGAATTTACACAATTTCTCATTGCAAAGGCAGTAAACTTACCCATTCACTTAACAACATAATAGATGAATAAAAGCAGTGAATGGACATCCCTGAGATAACCAGTAAGGAGTAGGTGGCAGATCCAACACTGCACACAACAGTCACTTGCTCAGTGACAAGACTACCTTCCTTCCCCACCAAATACCAATATGTCTTATCCCATCCCACCTAAAACATCGATATGCAAAATATTTTTTCATCAAAATGGACATGACTGATATATAACAAAACTGGAATTAAGCTAACTCCTCAAATTGCTTTTGAAATATAGAGGTTAGTAAAAAGTAAATGTCAATAACATTGGGGTAAATTTGGAGGGAAATACTACTACAGACTGCTGGTGGATTCCTAATGATAAGTAGAGATGCTTAGCTGACTTTCTGTTTTAATCCGTATTTCAAAACCGAACATTATATGATGATTAACATTTTTTTAAATGGTTTATACCTGCTTGCACGGGAGGGGGAATCTTGCAAGATAAAAACGAACTTCTTATGACTCATTAAATCAGTAACACTACTATAAATCATAAACCTGTTAAAAATAAATTATTTAATATAGAAACAGCAGGTCCAGCTGTTTAAATATCATATAGCATATGGAGCTTAGTAATTGGATTCAAATGCTGTCTGTTACATCATTTATACTTCTGTTAGAGTGTTGTGCTTCTATAGGGAAGGACAAAGTAGTTCTTGAATTGCTATTATGCTGAATAATTTTCTTTTAATTTCAGGTGACCGTCTCCCAAATTAATTTCTAATTGTCGAATTCAGTGGGTTTCCTCTGAAAAAGAATCTAAAATGTATTTGTGCTGGGTAATTTCACTGAATCATTTATCATGTGCTTTATTTGGCTTCGGATTTCAGCCTAACGTTTACTTCATATTTTATGTTTGTATTTTGTTTGTTTGTCTTTTAATATTGAGCACTTCTACCTTAAAACAAAGTTCACTTAAAATATAATCTTGTCACTCTACTAACTCTTTTGAATATCTGTGGTAAGAATGAGATAGAGAGGAATGGGAAAAACAGAGCAAAATTATTTAGTTTCCAAATTATTATAATAAAAAAAGCAAGTCTCCCTAGTGAGAGTTGAAAGGCTGTATCCTGATTTATGATGTGGGAAGCTATCAATGGAGCCAGAACAAAGACTAGAGTTATATTCCAGGATGTTGGTGGCAAGAAATTCATATACAGTAGAATGTGTCCCAGTATGATTATATTTGTTCCCTGAACCTGGCTTCACTAGTACAACACTTCATTAAAATCACTTGTGTTTGTTTGGTTTTATTTAAATTCAGACTTGTGAGCCTTAACTCAAACTTTCTCATATGACCTGGAAATCTATATATTTATCTAATTTCTTGAAGATATTTTTTACTAGCTCAGTATCACCGTTTAGAAATCATTACACAGGTAGTGGGGTAAAGTGGATAAAACAAGTCATCTTTGTGAGGAAGAAAAAAGAAGGGGGAAAATGCCATTGCTTGAGCCTCTATACCATAATGAACATGCACTAGGTATGAAACTTACAGAAATGCATCAGGTCCTCAAAACTGATGTTCTATGAAATTTTGACAATGTTATAGAGTTCAGTTAACCTCTAAGTGGTATTTGGCTTGCGTTGTCACATTCATTTCTTGACATTCAACTGCTGTACGTTGTGTCTTGAGATGGCAGGGGAGGGTCATCTGCAAGTTTCATAATCAAGCTAGAAGGGAGAAGCCAGGCTCTTTTCTCTCACTTCTTCCACCTTGGACAACTTCTCGGGTTCAACAGCATCTGAACCACTTTCTGGGCTCCAGCTCCTTCTGGGCAAGCCCAGTGTTTCCAGCTTTTGATGGGTAAACTCTTGACACCCCTGTCTTCTCCATTTGTTTCTCTAGGTTTGAGGAGAGTGTGATTTACTATGCGATTAATGTATAGGTTGACTCATTGCTGTTTGATTTCTTGGTTTTTCTTTCACCTGTTTAACCAACTCCCTGGGTTGAATTCCCTGAACTTCAAACACTTAGAATGGTTTCTGTTTTCTTGGATGGATCTTGACTGATGTAATCTCAAACATCAGCTTGATGTTTCCACAGGGATGTAGTAAAACAGATGAGGTATGCCAGTCTCCTTCACATTAAATATCAAATGTGACAGCCTCAGACACCCTAATACAGCCTACAGAAAATTAACCATGAATCCGTTCCTTACCGAAGGAAACTGAAAGAAAAAGTACTAGGAGAATTGTTTGGAATCATAAAGATTATCGACCATATCAGAGAACAGAAATGCACAATACCTCCTGAGAATTTTCACTAACATCAGAAATACATCCAATTAAACATTGTATGAAAGTATCCAGTATAATTTTGCTGACTGAACAGCAGCAGTACAAATATTGAACAGAAAGAAAAGAAGGGTATTAATTGAAGATGTTTTGAAAAACCTCACTAGTACTGAAAAAAATAGTTTCATAACTTTCTGACTCTCTGTCCATAGCATAAGACCAGAGAAAAATGAAGCCCTCAGTTGGGGACTCATGAATTTCCTGTTCCAATAGTTGCAGTCTTACCTGTTATGTTCTCCACCACCCTTTCCTGTTAAGTTCTGTTATGTTCTCCACCATCCTTTCCTCTTCTTTCTGTTGCATTCGTTGATGTAATCCCTCATTATTTCTCAGGCCCTATAATTATTTTAGATCTTACGCCCTTCTTAATAACTTTAACTCTTTCCAGATTAGAAACAAACACCATGCAGGTTCAATAACAGTCATCTCATTTCTCCCCAAAGTTCCTTAAAGTGTTGTCTATAAGCACTGCCTCCATTTTGTCTCCTTTCCCTACATATATCACAACTCTCTAAGGCTTCTGCCCTAACACTCCCCACAAACTGTTCTATTAAGGTCACCAGTGACTCTGCCACTGTATCTAGTAGACATTCTCAGCATTCATATTGAGACAGCCAAGTACAAAGAGGACCCTGAAGACTGGCCCGTCTACTGGGACAAGTGCGCACTGGCGTAGAGCCTCAGGAAGTTTGCGCCATTTGCAGCGGGGAAGAGCCTGGCGTCTCCTGTTTTGGGGTGGTTACCTGGGGATTCAATCTTTGAGACGTGGGCCTGTTAACAGGAACCTCTCTCGCTCTGCTGAGTTTTTTTCTTTTTGCCCAATAAATTCCATTTTACTCACCCTTCAAAGTGTCTGGGAGCCTAATCTGTCCTGGCCGTGTGACAAGGACCCTGTTTTTAGCTGAGCTAAGAACAAAGTCCTATAAAAATTTTTCATGGCCTTTTTACAGGTTTTGGTCCCTCTTTGTGATCCCTCATTTGATTTCTGGCACATTCTTTTCTCTTGGCTTCTATAACACCATGGCCTACTGGTTTCTGTCTTATTTCCCTACCCGCTTCTTACCCATCCCCATTCAGGTTCATGTGCCTTACTCAGCCATTGCGCGATGTATTTCCTCAGGCTTACCCTTAAAACCTCTTTTTCTTTTAGCTGCGTGTTCTCTCCTTGAGGTATCTTATGCTTCATTACCATCTTCCTGTCTTTGAATACCAAACGTCTACTTCCAACTCTGACTTCACCTTTGAGGTCCAGACTGGAGGTCACAAAGGTATAGAAAACCAAACTTTTTCATGTAATGACTTATTTTCCTCTGGGCACATACCCAGTAGTGGGATTGCTGAATCAAATGGTGGTTCTACTTTTAGTTCTTTAAGGAATCTTCACACTGTTTTCCATAGTGATTGTACTAGTTTATATTCCCACAAGCAGTGTAGAAGTGTTCCCTTTTCACCGCATCCACACCAACATCTATTCTTTCTTTCTTTCTTTTTTTATTATGGCCATTCTTGCAGGAGTAAGGAACAATTTGCAATTGCAAAAATATGGAACCAGCCCAAATGCCCATTAATCAATTAGCAGATAAAGAAATTGTGGTATATATAATATATATATAGTATATATAATATATTATATATATTACATATATGTAATATATTACATATTATATATAATATATATTATATTACATATTATATATAATATATAATATATTACATATTATATATAATATATAATATATTACATATTATATATAATATATAATATATTACATATTATATATAATATATATATTATATATAACATATATTTTATATATTATATTTTATATATTATATATTATAAATATATGTATTTTATATATTACATAGTATTCCATCAGATATATTATATAATATATATTCATTACATATATTATATACAAATAATTGTATATAATATATAATATATATAAAATATATAAAAATTTATATATATAAAATATATATATTATGTATATATAATATATCTGATGGAATACTACTCAGCCATAAAAAGGAACAAATTAATGGCATTCACAGCAACCTGGATGGAACTGGGGACCATTATTCTAAGTGAAGTAACTCAGGAATGGAAAACCAAACATCCTATGTTCTCACTCACAAGTGGGAGCTAAGCTATGAGATTGCAAAGGCATAAGAATACAATGATACAATGTACTTTGGGGACTCCGGGGAAAGGGTGACAGGGGTTAGGGATAAAAGACTACAAATTGAGTTCAGTGTGTACTGCTTGGGTGATGGATGCACCAAAATCTTAGAAATCACCACTAAAGAACTGACTCGTGTAACCAAATACCACCCGTTTCCCCCCAAACCTATGGAAATAAAAATTTAAAAAAAAAAAACAGAAACAAAAACAAGAAAACTCAACTTTTTACCTCCTCCCTGCACTAATATAAGTTTGCTTCAGTATTTTTCAACCAAGTGAGTGGCTTGTCTCTTCTTCCAGTTTCACATGACCTAAAACGTGGTCTCACCCTGTCCCTGATCCAGCATTAAGATCTGCTTATCACCTATTTTCTTACTATGTATCTAAGGCATTGCCTGTGTGTGTCCTGTATTGTAACTAAAGCACACAAATTTGTACCACTATAAATTCAATGCCCTCTCTGTCCTCTTACCAGACAGCAATGGAACGACGCTAAAGTCCTTAACATGGCCAAGGAGGCCCACATTGTCTGTTTCTCTCAAGCTTCAGGATGCATGATTTCTCCCCCATTCTCTGCCCATCTGTCACACTACAGGCATCAGTTCCTTGATCATGCCAGTGTTTCTTCCATACACATCTATCCAAGCATCTCTTTCTCCCTGGACTGGTTTACTCCTTGCCTATGTTAACCCCAAATTATGCTTAGCGCTATCTCCAGTACTACCTCCTCAGGGAAGCAGCCCTGTTGTTCTTCTGCCCGGGCTAGTTATTGTCGTGTGTGTGTGTGTGTGTGTGTGTGTGTGTGTGTGTGTGCTTCTCATTGAACCATATCAGTTTCCTTCAGGGCACTTTTTAGGAATGATGTATTTCTGAGTGGGATCATTTGTTTATATCTCAACCTCCAAAGCCTATAACTTGAGTAAATAGAGTATTTGATTTTGTTCAAAATCTTAGCCAAGTGCTTTCCAAAGGATCTGGCACAGAATTGAGTCTCAATAAATATTTTTAGAATAAAGGAATGAGTATTAGAGTTGGAAAAAATCTCAGAGACATGTAATACAATATCTTACTCAAAGTTTGTATCTTAATGCCAGTGTCATGAGGTTCAAGAAATACAAGATATCTTACCTGATCTGTCACAAAGTACTCTCATTAGACCTTGCTCTTCACAAGGAAATTTACCACCGTCTTCTGTGTCCAACTAAATGGATACATTAGTTACATTATTCCCACTGAACATACCAGGAAGACAGATTGCCACTTCCTTTGTTGGAGGTTGAAAAATTATGTACTGTACATGATACAATCAATCTAATTTTCAGGCAATATTTATATCTTTTAAATATGTAAGACGTTAGGGTTTTTTCCCTCTCCCCCAGATTTTTCAGTGTCAATATTAGTAAAACAAGATTCTGAAGAGTAAATTTAATTAAGTTATATGGGATGCTTTTAACTGCCTGATGTTTAAGCAGAAATAGATTTCCTTCCTCAGTTTGAGCATTGATCTTGATATAGGGCGGAGTCTGCATTCCCTTCAGTAGGAACTGCCAATAACACAGACTAGACTGGTAGAAATCCCAGTAATTTACAAGGCATGAAACAAGGGAATGTTAACTTAGCTGGCCACTAATAGTTGTGACCACCGGCCTTAATTTCGTCATTTGAAAAACAAGGGAATTGTTTTGTAATAACCAATAATTTTAAACAACATATTTTTCCATTAAGATATAAATTAATGAATAAATTATGGTGTGTTCATTACATGGAATACTATACAGCAAAGAAAAGGAAAGAGTGACAGCTAAAAATCCTCCAACACAATGGATTTCTAATGCTAACAAAACAAGAAACAAAATCATACATATACTATAACCTCATTCATAAAAAATCTATAATTTAATATGGCAAACTAAATTATTTATGGATGTATAATAAAATCAAAAGGAAAGCAGGCCAGGTGCAGCGGCTCACGTCTGTAATCTCAGCACTTTGGGAGGCTGAGGCGGGTGGATCACTTCAGGTCAGGAGTTCAAGACCAGCCTGGTCAACATGGTGAAACCCCATCTCTACTAAAAATACAAAAAAATTAGCTCAGCATGGTGGTGGATGCCTGTAATCCCAGCTATTTGGGAGGCTCAGGCAGGAGAATCACTTGAACCCAGGAGGCAGAGGTTGCAGTGAGCCGAGATAGTGCCACTGCACTCCAGCCTGGGCAACAAGAGTGAAACTCCATCTCAAAATAAAATTTAAAAAAAGGAAAGCAAAGTAATAAAAAATACGGTAAAGTTAATAAGAGAGTCATTTCTACTAGTGCAAGGGCAGGAGATTTGATAGGAATGGATACAATGGGGGCCTCTGAATTGAAAGATGCTTACCTGTATGTTCACTTTATATTTATTATGTTAAATTATACACTTTTATTTCATGTCCTCTCCTGTTTGCATATTTTATTGATGATGAGTGTTGATTTTTAAAGAAAAAATTCATATAATGTTATACTTTCAGTGGATCTTAGCTTAAATTTAAGAAAGCGTAACATTATGTAACTCTAAAAATTGTTTGGTAATTATTTGCTTTGGCATCTGTGTATGTTACCTCTGAAGACATGTACGTATCATAGACTTCATGTTCTATTATGGTAAATTTTACTTCCTCAATAAAAGAGGCCCACTTAGCTGAATTCCATCAAGATTCATGGTTGGTTTGACACATAAAATAGTTGCTTACACAGTATTTAAATACCTTTGAATTTCATAACTAATATTGAAATAGTTGGTAAATCTCATGTAAACATTCGAGTTGACTTTTGTGTTGTGATGGCAGGCGCCTGTTGTCCCAGCTACTCGGGAGGCTGAGGCAGGAGAATGGCGTGAACCCGGGAGGCGGGGCTTGCAGTGAGCAGAGATGGCGCCACTACACTCCAGCCTGGGCGACAGAGCGAGACTCCGTCTCAAAAAAAAAAAAAAAAAAGTTTAGAGATGAGGCAAAACTGGAACCTGTTCCAAGATGACACGGGGCACGGGACGTTCAGCTCTTCTCAGCTCCGATTCTCCCATTACTTCCTCTCCCTGGCAGTGTCAGTTACACTAGCATTGTGTTGGAGTTCTTGGCATAGATTTTATTTTGTTTATATGTCTTTTATTTTGCTTTTACACACAGGGTGCTCTGATCGTTTGTTAACTGTCTTGTCCCAATTGGCATTTTAGTTGGGATCACTACACTATTTCTGTTTGTGTCAGTTCTCCCACTGGTATTGATCAAGAACCTTATTTCTCTGCCTTTACAGAAAACCATCTCTTTGTACATTTTGTATAAATCATCTCATCCAGGAAATGAGATTAGCCATTTTTGAACTGAAAAAATAATCCATTTATATACAGACTGTCTTTTCAATTGCTGTAGAAAATAAGAGTATTAAAAATTTAAGCCTTCTTCAAAAAATTTCTTAAAATGTATTGCTAGCATGGCAGATGTTTCTTTCTGAGGAAATGTTAAAAAAAAAAAACAAAAAAAACAATGTTCACCAAAGCTACCTGATTTAGTGAGAAGCTTTTTGTCTTCCCTGCAGAGATCTGAGCTCAAGTCTTCCATTCAGTTTTTAATCTTACAGCATTTATTCTCTTTCAAGACTTTCCAAATTGCCAATTCATTGGATTTTGTTTATCACCTTTTCCACAAAAGCCCATTTGTTCATTGACAGTTGCATTATAGGTTAAATCCAAAGTAAGGCTGATAAATGAATATTCAAACTGGCCCCCGGGGTTGTTTTTAGTTTGATAGTTCTATCACATCAACCATATGTAAAATCCATCTTCCAGTTAAATGTGGCTGCCTTTTCTGTGTCAGAGATTATTTATTAGTCTGTTGTCTATTAGTCTTGATTAACAGGAAGTTTTTGATCAAGCAGGGTTTTCTCATCGCTGATTGCTTATACATCAAACAGTCTTTTGCTATGAATTTGACATATTAATGGTTTTACAGCATTGCTATTTATCTGTTTCATGTTCCTTCTATAATTGGATGCAAAATAAATGAAGCAAAGCTGGGCAAAGATATCATTTTATGGGATAGTGTTATAACAATTCTACATTTACAGAAGGTGCTTTGATGTCTAGTTACTGGCCAAAATAAATAGCATATTTCTGATCAAGTTATAGCAAATATTATAAAATAAATTCTCAAGGCGCTTTCTTGATTCCTCTTATGTGCTCATTATAAGGGTCATGCATTATAAAAACAGAAGTTGATTTCAAGCTGTTTGAATCAAGGCATGATAAGAAAATTAACATAAGCTTTAGTTTTGCTGTGAAATAGATTTTGCTTCAAACTTTATTTTGTTCTCCACACTTAATATTTAATAACCTTTCTACTGAGTTTCTGTTGACTCCTCCCTCAACATGGATGTCAAAGTAGTAACTCACACTTAACATCTCTCAAACACAACTCTTTATTTTTCCCTGTATCTGCTCCTACTCCAGCCTTAAACATCTCTGTATATTGTATGAGTGTTTATGCAGTTGCTCAGAACAAGAATTAGTTAACAAAGATCTGTTATACTTGTCTTCATTAGTTAACTAGTACCTTCAGTATATAACCACCATCCAGTATTTCTCTCTAACTCTTCCTATAGTGATCTAGTACAATTCTTTACTCCCTCCAACTTAAAATACTATAGTAGTCTCTGAAGTACCTTCCTACTCCTTCCTTACCTTTTTGTAGTCAGTTTTTCAAGGAGCAGTCAAAATGGTATTTTTTAAAAATGTAATTCAATTCATGCCATTTATTTGCTCTAATCTTCCAATGATTTCCCATTATGCTCACAAATAACCAAACTCTGTCTCTTTCTTCTAAGGACTTTTATATTCTGTCTATTGCCTAACTCTCTGACTTTGTCTTCTACCTTTTTCATGATGTCTGCGTGCACACACATGCTCATACACACACACACACGTATGCGTGCACACACACCTTGCTTACTTATTTACCATCTCACTGATTTTCTTGCTATTCCTCCAAAATACCAAGTGTATTTCTACCTTAGGGCCTTTATACTTGCTGCTCCCTGAGACTGTAAAACTATTTCCCTCAGCTATTCAGGAGACTTGCTTTCATACTTTATTCAAGGACCTGTTTTACAGTCACCTCTCTAAGAAGTCTTCCCTGACTGCTTTATTTAACATGAACCTTGTAAACCTCATCACCATTATTTCTATATATTGACCTTGATTTGTTTTCTTAATAGCATGTACTATTTCCTGATATTATAGTATATATTTATTTGTTTGATTTGCATTTACCCCGCTGGAAGGTAAACTCCCTGAGATATGGGATTTAGATTCTTTACTAAATTGCTAGGGCCTAGAATAGTGCCTGACTGGCACAGGGGGAGTCCTTAATAAATATGAATTCAGTAAATGACTACATAAATCCCTGAAACCTATAAACCAACTATTTAAAAGCTCACAGTATGAACCATTATCCTGTGTGAAACTTAGATGGCAAATATAAATTTATCCTGCCATAGTGGATTTAAGAAACCCTCATTTGCTTATACACAGGTGTTTATATTAATTTTGGGCCTTTGAAAAACTTTGGATTTTACTCTGAGTAACATGGGCAGATACTAGAAGATTTTGAGCAGATTTCAGGAGAATCATAGGACCTTCCTTATATCTAAAAATGATCGTTCTGGCTGCTTTGATAAGAATAGCCTAATGGTGACCGTGATAAGGGTAGATACAGAGAAACCCACTTAGGTTATTGACAGTATTGAGGTGAAATATGACGGCAGTGGCACTAAGTGTTAGCAGCAGAGGTGGTGGCATGTGATTGGCTTATGGATATATTTAAAAGATAGTCATGACAGGAATTTCTGTTAGATTTCCTATAGGATATTAGAGAAAGAGAGGAATTAAGGGTCACTTTAAATCTGGAATGATGGCATTGACACCCAGGTGCGACTACTGTGGTGTAACAAGTTTTGGGTTATCAGAGATCGGTACTAAAGTTTTCATTTGTACATTGAGGGAGAAATATTCATTAGGCACTTGGTGTATAAGATTGGAGTTTATGAGCATGATCTATGCTAGATAGATAGATAGATAGATAGATAGATAGATAGGTAGATAGATAGATCGATCCCTGTTTGGGTGGGGCATGGGATGTTCAACTCTGTATAGTATAGATCTATGTAGTATAGATCATGCTCATAAACTCCAGTCTTATACACCAAGTGCTTAATGAATATTTCCTCCTCAATGTACAATAAACTATATATATTCCTATATTATATATACTATATATATTCATTACTATAGTATAGATCATGCTCATAAACTCCTGTCTTATACACCAAATGCCTGATGAATATTTCTCCCTCAATGTACAATAAACACTTTAGTACAAATCTATATAGATAGATAGATAGATAGATAGATAGATAGATAGATAGATAGTATATACATATATTTGACATGTCTTTGGCATATATGTATTACTCAATACCTTGAAAAAGAATGGGTTACCAAATGAGCGAATGCAAACAGAGAAGTGAAAAGAACACAGTCAGGACCCCAGGAAGCTCTAACATTAAAAAGTAGATGAAAAATGGAGAAACAGACTCATTAAACTGAGAAGAACGCATCTAAGGAGGTGGCAGAAAAACCATGTGTGTGTGTTTTCTTTGAAGTCAAATGAAGAAAGGATATCAGAGGAAAGAATGATTAGCTATGTGAAATCTTGCTGGTAATTCACTTAAGGAGATGTTTGAAATTTTCTATTAAGCAAGAAAGAAATAATTGGTGACTTGATCAGAGCAATTTAGGAAGTGTAGTGGGAGTAAAGCCAGACTGCAGTGGGTTTGGGAGAGAAAGACAAGAGGAGCATTGGAGCCTGTGGCTCTGGTCATTCTGTCTGAAGATTGTTGCCAAAATTCGGAGTAAGAATTGGAAGAAGCTGGATAAAGAAAAGTTGTTATTATGTTTTCCGTTTTCTCTTTTACTGTGTTTTTTAAAATAGAAAAAGTAACAGGATGTTTGTGTGCCAATGGAAATTATCAGTAGAGAGTGGAAAATGATGGAACAGAGTAGAAGAGGCAGCAGGACTTCTATAACGTTGGGATCGGGAATTCAGTAAACCCTCTCCTCATCATAACAGCAGTGTAACTGTTGGAAATTTTACAATAATGATTAGAAACTCCAACACTCATTTAATGTCTCTGTAAATTGTGCTAAAGGCATAAGCAAGTAAGGAAATATTAGTTCAAGAAAATCTACTAAGTTTCACTAAGATCAGCAAAAGTTGGTTGCTGTATTAGGCTGTTGGAGCTGCCATAACAAACTACCACAGGCAGGGTCGCTTAAATAATACAAATTGTTCTCATATTTCTGGAGGGTAAATGCATGAGATCGAGGTATGGGTAGATTGATTTCTGATGCTTCGCTCCTTGGCTCACAATGAATGGCTGCCTTCTGGCTATACCTTCACGTGTTTTTTTTTCTATGTGTGTGCACATGTCTGTTCAAATTTCCTCTTCTTGAAATAAAATCAGTCATATTGGATTAAGGCCAACCCATATGAATTCGTTTTACCTTAATTACCTCTTTAAAGGCCTTATTTTCAAATACAGTCACATTTTGAGGTCTTTGGGTTAGGACTTCAACACGTGAGTTTTGAGGAAAGGCACAGTTCAGCCTGTAATATCGTTTGAATCATAACCCACTCCACAGCTCTGCCAAGGGGACTGATTTTATTTGAAACAGAACATGGAAAACTCTGTGCTTAAGGATGTTGACAAAAACAATGAGGATGTTGGTGGAGAGTAATTAAAATGAGCCTCTTAGTTCCATAATACAACATAATCCTCAAATAACATCATTTTGTTCAAAATTGTTTCATTATAACATTGATGGGGGAAAAAAATCAATTCCTAGCCAGGGCCACGGTATGTGTGGAGTTTGCACTTTCTCCCCAGCTATGTGGGTTTTCGCCAGTCTCTGGTTTCCTCTCTCAGCCCAAAGAGGTGCACGTTAAGTGCATCTGCTAACTAAACGTTCCCCCATCTGAGTGACTGGGGTGTGTGTGAGTGTGCGCCGCAATAGAATGGTGTCCTAACCAGGGCAGGTTCCCACCTTGCACCCTGAGCTGTAGGGAGTGGCTCAAGGCCTGGCCACCAGAAAAGCAGTAAGCCGGTTAGAAAATGAATGAATGCATGAATACAAAGTATTGTAAAATAAAAATTCATGTAGTCTACGATAATTACACAAATGCACAAAAATAAACCGGGTGGAATGAAGGTGCCCAGTGAGCCCACCCTATTTCTCCTTTGGTTTTGAAACCTGTGGTGGGAGAAGGTGCTCCTTACAATTTCCACTTTGCAAACATTTACTCCTTTAACCCACTGCTGCTACAACTGCCATTACTCCTGATTCGCCAAAAATTGGGGAAATAATTCTGTTTTTAGTCATCTTTATCAAACGTATGTATAGCTCAAACCTATTTCTGTGTTTAACATTTGAAGTGTTTGGGGTCTTTATTTAGAAGTTTGGTGATGTTTTTGTGAGCACAATTATGCTGCAGGAATTTAACTCTTATTTATTTATTTATTGAGACAAAGTTTTGCTTTTGTTACCCAGGCTGCCGTGCAATGGCAGGACCTCAGCTCACTGCAACCTCCACCTCCTGGGTTCAAGCAATTCTCCTGCCTCAGCCTCCCGAGTACCTGGGATTACAGGCATGTGCCACCACACCCGGATAATTTTTTGTATTTTTAGGAGAGACAGGGTTTCACCATGTTGGCCAGGCTGGTCTTGAACTCCTGACCTCAGGTGATCCACCCTTCTCGGCCTCCCAAAGTGCTGAGATTACAGGCATGAGCCACCACACCCGACTTTAACTCTTATTTATATGAATTAAACAATAGTAAAAGTGATTTCATTGTACATCATTTCACAAATGCAAAAAGTTGCATTTTTCAAGAACCTGTCAACAATGTTAAGTGAGGGCTTACTGTACAATCAAAATAGCAGAAAACCAGAAGAGTCTTTGAGGATAACAATTAACCCTGAAGGTTGGGAAGGATGTGATCACGTACTAGTCTAAACCACATCAGGAGTAATCAGAACAGAATGTGAGGCCGACTTGAAAGCATCTCCCAACCTCACACTGACCTTGACGGGCAGAAGACTCACTTGTACAAGGTGCTTGCATTTAACTTCTGACAAAACACTGAACAATAATCAACTTTAACCCAGGGGTGTCTTATAGGAAACCAGGCCTAAAAATAAAGTCACACTCATCCCTGACAGTCTAGAAAACTGCCTGCCCCCCTAAAGCTGTGTCCATTCAAGTGATTGTTATGAACTGAGCTGCCAGGTGTTGGAGTTGTGGATTAATACCATAAGTCTAAGTAAAAGTAATGATTACGCCTTTATTCATCCACTGCTATGGTGCTAGCAAGAGGCCAGAAAGAAGGTGCCAGCTCCCACAGTGTTCCATTCTTCAACATGAAACAACACTCGACGAAAGTGAGACATTATCAGCATATATGGCTGGAATGGTGTCACTGCTGAAGGAGTCTTGTACAAAAGCCTTCTGTCCTTTTGTGAATCCAGGGGTCAAGAAGCAGGGATTGGGGAAGTGGCTAGGAGAGGAAAAGTTCTAAGTACTGAATCAGAGTGGAGAAAGTGTCTTCAAGGTTTTCCTCCTCCCTCTGATAAGGGCGTCTCTACAGAGGCACCTGGAGATGGGCACCCAATAAATAGTGCTCTGAATGAAGCAGCTGGGATAGGTATGCACAGGTGCACAAGAACACAGCTGACTGGGGTCCTGAGTCCTGATGGCGCCTCCCCTTAGAGACTGTGATGTGCTGGCTGTGCACCAAGCTTAGTATGGGGAGGGCCACTTCCCCCCATGCAGCCTCCAAGGTAAAGCCTTTTGATTCCCTATCCGTGGAACTTAACAACCACATATAGGTTTTTGGCTACAAGCTGGACTTCTCAGTAGTCAGAGAACCATCAAGCTACTAGCTACTGATCCTTGATGACAGGTGGGGCAAAAAGTATATGCGCTTGGAACCGTGATAGCACCAGGGCCTCCAAGACATACATCCAACCGCAAAGGATAAAAATCCAACTTGCTAATAGGGCTCCAGCACAAGCTTTCACCAATAAGTGGAATGTGATAACTCAGGGGTGATCCCTGAGTTACCTGGATCCCTAAGAGGTAAAAACAAATGGAAAAAAAAAATCTGAGCAGCAACATGTTTGAGAAGCCACATACCACGGGGAAAATAGACTTTGCAGAACTAGTTCAGCCAAATCATTAATCAAATAAGCAAGTGACTAAGCAGAAGAAACACTGAGTGAGTGAGGGGTAATCAGATTTGCTGCAATGTATTATTTTAAATGTTTAATTAAAACAATTATGAGATATGCGAAAACAGGAAATTGTGACTCATGCGCAAGAAAAAAATCAGGCAATAAAAGCTGCCATTGATGGGTCCCATTGGTGAGCTTAGCAGACAAAGACTTTAAAGTAGCAGCTAATTATGAATATGTTCAAAACAGTTCAAAGAACGAAAAGAGCCATAATTGAAAGAGTAAAGGAAGTCTAATGACAATGTCTCATCAAATGCAGAATATTTGTAAACAATACAAATTATTAAAAAGAGCCAAATGGAAATTCTAGAGTGGAAAATACAATAAACAGATATGAAAACTTCAGTAGATGGGCTGTACATAGATTTGGGTACACAGATGAAAGAATCAATGAACTTGTAAATCAATCCATGCCAATCATATAATCTAAAGAAGACAGAGAAGAAAAAACTATGAAGGAAAATGAACAGAATATCGAAGACGTGTGACAGAACATTAATTACACAAATATACATTTAATGAGCGTTACCAAAAGGAGAAAATAAAAATAGACAGAAAAAATATTGAAGAAATAGTGGTTGAAAACAAAGGAGCACATATGACAGTCACATTTATGGGCCCTTGGGAATTGTAAATTTCAATTGGGATGAGTTAGTATTGTTGTGTGTTATTCTCCAGCCACTTTCAGATACATGGTTCCAGTTATGGGATGGAGAAAAAGCTTGTTTAAACCAGGGGTGAGGCTGTGCCAAGCAAGCAGGAAAATGTGAGGAGCAAGGGAAGAAAGGGGGTATAGTATACAAGAGTGATTGTAATGGGCCATGGAAATTGGTAAGGAGAGGATTTCTAGATCATCAAGCCAGTGAGGAACTGGGAAAGGTGATAGTATCAGTGAATTGGAAGTCTTCATGTGCCACGTAGATTTGAGGTGCCTATCAATGAGAGGTATTCATTTTATTGTTATATGTAGATCACATAGTCACAGTTCTCTGCAGACATTGCAGTTATTGGTCGTGACAAGATCTGGGGTTTGCTCTTGGAAGGAGTGACTAAGGTAGATATCATTAGAACGGAATAATTTAGGGAGCTAAGAATATCGGGTGTTGGAAAAATCATGTATATGTATACAGACATTGCCATGAGTCAGATGTTTTAATTGATAGGGTAGGAGTGAATCAGGAACCAAAACTTTTGAAGAATACATGTGAATGATCCTAGATGTGAGTAGCTGACAGCAGTAGTTTCCTTTCCAGCAGATGACTGTTGAATCTTATAGGGTACATATGCAATTTGAATCCGATAACTTCATGTTCTCTTTTTCTTCATTCTGTGTGCTTAAAATTTGACTTCTTCTTCTGGAATAATTATCAGTGCATAACAAAATGTGTCCCCTTTGACTTGAACCATGGAGAGTTGACAGTTATGTTTAGTTCAATCCCCTTTGCTCTCATAAGCTCCCCAGGTCCTGGCGTTATTCTTCTTAGTTCTACCCTGTACAACGTTTCCTGTACCAGAAAATCTATACTTTGTCACCTATTCTTAACCTGTATTTGTATTTCCATCCTGAATCATTTTAGTGACCACTAGCCAAAGTATTTAACCACATACAACAGACTATTCTTCATAAGAATACATCTTTTTTTAAGGAGTAAAACTAACCCACAGGTTAAGTAAAATGGTTATGTAAATAAGGCCCTAAGCTGAGCTTCTAGAAACAGCCCTGTACTGAGCAGAACTGGACTGCCACACAGCAGCTGCCTCTACATGGATTGGGGAGCCATAGAATCAGAAGATGTCATCATAGGTGATGTCTCAAAAACTAGTCAGGATGTTGTTTAATCTGAATGCTGGACAGTTGCCTCTGCCAAAGCTAACGTATGTGTTTTACTTTGCCAAATGACTTGGTTCTGAATAGGGATCTTGCACTACGATATCTGATTGGCAAAACATAAAACCGGGCAGCAAGTGTTCTAGGAATTGTAGTTTTTTCTGTCTGGCTCTGGCATGCCAGAAAGCTGTTAGGGTGGATGTTGAGAGTATTACACCTTATCAACCAGCTTTTAATATAATTTGAAATATAGTAAGATGTTTAAATGCACTAACAAAATTTGATCATACCAAAGACATAACCCATCCAGATGTTGATGTATTAATTCCTAGTATTTTCCTAAGAGAGTTTTTAATAGAAATTTTTCTTTGAATATGCCTACTTCTGGCAAAAAATTAAAACCCTGGCTTTGTCCAACTTTAAAAGGTTGGTGAAAATAATTTTATCATGATCACTATCATTAGTGTATTTATTTGGTTAATTAAGCACCCCATCTTATTCTAAATAGGTTCATATTTCTGAACCTATTTGGAAATATATAGCAAGTCAGAGTGAGAAGAAATAATCTGCTTTATTATAGATGCATAGTTGGTTTAGAAAATATAGCTTGGATTTCAAACAAACTATTCTTGACTTTCTTTTTCCCTCCATAGAACTTGTACCCCCCAAAACTGCTAACAGAGCAGTTGAATGACTGAATACTTCCCTGCATAAAATTTAGCCCGTTCTGTTTGGTTTACGGTACGGAAAAGGCAAGATTCAAGAGTAAAATGTGTCGTGCTTACAGGCAAGCAATTTCCAAGACAGAGAATCAATGTGGGTATATAGAAGGAGAAAGAGAAGCAATATATGAACCTGTAAGTTTAGGACATTAACCCTGACCATGAGCAAATAGATGTCAGACTCATTATATCACTATCACATCACTCCTACCAAGGAAGAAGCTAAACAGTGGTAAGGAGAAGGGAGTAACTTCATTCCTAAACTTTCCCTGGGATATTTTATGGGCTTGCTGAACACTTGGAGAGGGAGAGGATGATTTATCACACTGTCATCACCACCACCCCCGTCATGATCATGATTGTCACCATCACCATGGGCCACAAACATCGTCATTTCAAACACTTGTAGAGCTGTCTACTATACATAGACCACTTTCATGGTACTTAAGATGCAAATGATTTTAAAAATGAAAAACTGAGGAGGATTTATAATTAATGTCACTAGAGAAGATGTATTGTTGGAAAGAATAAAGTTTCAGGAGGGGCCAGGAAGTGATACAGGAGAACTATGGCAACTGAGATAATAAAAGAAGGCTTCACGGAGGTAGATCCTATTTGGGTCTTGGGATAAATATTGATGCTCAGGGTATATTCCTAGTGCAGATATGGGGGATGAGAAAAATTATAATTTGCCTCATTCCAGAGGCTATGAATATTCAGTTTAAAATTTCACCAATGCCTGAAACCCCGTCTCTACTAAAAATACAAAATAATTAGCCGAGCGTGGCAGCAGGAGCCTGTAGTCCAAGCTACTCAGGAGGCTGAGGCAGGAGAATGGCTTGAACCCGGGAGGCGGCAGTTGCAGTGACCCAAGATCGCACCACCGCACTCCACACTCCAGACTGGGCAACAGAGTGAGACTATATCAAACAGAAAAAAAAAAATTCACTAATGTCTCAAGAAATAAGATTGATCTTTTATGAAAGAAAAATCACAATTACCTATCTATGAGTATAACAGTAGGTGATTACATTTCCTGAAGTCTCTTCTTTAAATTTAGTTTTCTTTATACCATTGTGTTCTTCTAAAAATATTTCATCAATCTATTACAAGTTCAAGAAAGAACTTTTGTTTGAAATGAATGTCATCTTGTTTTTATATTCTCCAAGCAAACTCCTCCATCCAAAGTCCTTACACTGAATGTTTTTCTTCCTCATGTTATATTTTGAAAACTCAGAAGCATGTTAGGAGTTTCAATTGGATACTATATGAAGTTTTATAATTCTAGGCAGTCCTGAGGATCAAAAGAAGATTATTCCACCAAAGGAAACAAATGTTCTTGTTTCTAGTTGGGTCTTCTTTCAAGCGAATACCGATTTCCAGGAAGAAAACTCATTTTTATTTCACTCTCCCCGCCAAAACTTTTATCTTCTTACTTTGGTAAAGAGTGCTTCCATTATTCTGCTGATTAGTCACACAGTTCTATATCTTATTAAAAAATCCTACAAATGTAAAGAGGTTCTGCTTCTCAAGTATTTGTAAATAAACCATAGAGTTAATGAAGATAGAATTTTACATCATTGGAAAGAAAGGACAAAAACACACTTGTATCTTACCTCTGAGCAGCAAATGACAGCATGCAGACTTCTGTCTTTATAATGCATTCGTGTATATTTTCGCAGGGATTATTTTCTTAAATGCCTATATGATACCATTGAATGTTTTAAAATCACTAATGTTTTAATAAAATATTTACAAGTAATATTCAAAAGCACTTTTGGGGTCTATTCTTGCCTCATTAAATGCAGTAGATTTAAGTGATTTCACAGAATTTATTTTTCCTCCCTAGCACAGAGAATTCAATTTTCAAATAAGAACACATAGTGATACCATAGATGTGTGCAATATTTCCTCTTGCCTCTTACCTTTTCTTTTGTCTGTTTAGGGACCCTGGTTTGATATGAATCCAGAATGAAGGGAAAGAAAAGAAACCCATACTAGTGACTACATTTACGGCAAGATGGTTTAGATCATCCCTGATCATTTTTTTTATAACAAAATAGATTGCAAAAACAACATTAATTAAATCATCTTAGATCTGAATTCTCAGTTGGATGGCATGAAAACATAGACCAACACCAAGGAGATGGGTTCCAGTAATGAAAAATGTACCCAGAATATTAATGACAAATGTCTTCCTCCATCAAATTTTTTCTCATTCCTATTGACTTTCTTTTTAAACTATATATATATATTTTTTTTTCCTTATTTCTATGATCATCCAGTGAGCCTTGTATCTCCCATATATTCTGACACATAATGTGATTACTTTTATCATTATTATTATTATCACAGTTACTTCTAACCTTTATAAATCCAGCAAGTCAATGAAGGGCGTGTATTGCATATATAGGTATTATTTTGCAGTAGTTTTATTTTAAACCCTCTAACTCATATTTAAACTAGTAAGTTTAGTTTCTAGTTAATATTTGTTCAGCAAACATTAAGAAATGACGTATTTCCTGTAATCCCAGAACTTTGGGAGGCCAAGGCAGGCGGATCATGAGGTCAGGAGATCGAGACCATCCTGGCTAACATGGTGAAACTCTGTCTCTACTAAAAAAAAAAAAAAAAAAAAAGAAAATACAAAAATTTAGCCGGGCGTGGTGGCATGCACCTGTAATCTCAGCTTCTAGGGAGGCTAAGGCAGTAGAATCGCTTGAACCTGGAAGGCAGAGGTTGGAGTGAGCCGAGATCATGCCACTGCACTCCAGCCTAGGCAACAGAGCAAGACTCCATCTCAAAAGAAAAAAAAAGCGGTATTACATTAATTATTTGGAATATAATAGTTCAACTTATATTCTAGAAACACAGTTGTATATAGTGAAAACCTTAGACGATAGATAACATTATACTACAAAAATAAAGACATGGAGCCAAATAATCAAGGTTCAGCCTTCTTCTCATATGTATTGTTTAAATAATAAAACTCATCTGACAGATTTGTGGTAATTACTGAATTATATGTAATATCATTTTCATATTACAAATAATAGTGTATGTTATTCATACAACGTTGTAACATATATTATATGTAATTATATAAATTTATTTTATATTACATATATTTTATTAACTTTGTATTCAAAATTGAGATTTGACTATGCTGTGTTACAATTCTTAGGTATTTATAACAATCTTTTGATACATCCCACCAAACACTGCAGAGGAACTAAAATGAAAACAGGTTGGAGGGCAGAGTTTTATGGTGAGAACACAGAAAGTCAGCCAGGAGGGTGAAGAGGCTTCTTCTGTGCTAGGATTGTCTCCAGGAACATCTCTGCAGGAAGCCAACACATCTATCGCTAATATATTTTGTGTAAGTTTTAAAAACTCATAGTGTTCACTTTTACATGGCAGAGTTTCTGTTCAATACACTGACTTCTATGATTCTTATACCAGTCATCCATGAACTTTCCAGTGTTGACTCTTTAAACATTTGATTTCACAATATTAATATATTGCCTGAACAAATGTTCAGAAATTTTTAAATGTGTTTTATCAGATTGTCTTTCATATATGACACCGAGCAGTCACAATGGTTTTTTCTCAATTTCATGAAGTTGACCAATGGCTTGTTTATAATGTTGACCAAAAAATAATCAAAAATTCCCTATGTATTGCTGGTCCTTAACAGTTTTTCCTTAACAAGAAGACACAACAACTCATTGTTAGAATAATCATGATTTCAGTTGAAACATGGCTTATTTGGAACAGATTTATTTTAATATGAGTAAGATAAATTTTCTATCTGTCTTTCTCTTAGCATGTCAAATTAAAAAGGCCATATGGATTTTAAGTAAATTTGGACAGAAATTTTGGTATAGTCTAAAATAAATGAGTCACAGAAAAGTCACGGAGGGATAGCTTATTAATAATCAATGACTTCAAGAGCAACTAAAAATGAACATTGATTTTCACCTAACTTGACAGAGTATAATTGGGATAATCTGATCAAAACTATATACCTAATACATAGCTGATTAAATATATCTAAATTAGTAACTCCTTGTTATTCTACCCAAGTCATTTTCTGTTTAAATGGCTTTATTTTTGCCCTTAGTACATATCACTATCTGACCTTATATAGTTTTTAACTTTCCTTGAATCCCCAAAGTCAGGAACAGAGCCTAATATTTAATATGCATTAGATCAACCTTTGTCGAATGAATAAATACAGGGAGACAGTAAAACAGGCATTGGTAAAAATCTGAGCTCCAGATAAAAAGACACCAGGAAAGCAGAAATTATAGATGTTTATGTACCATTGAGCTTCTTTGCATATTATCAATTCTGCTTAGCTTTTTTCTTGGGGAATTATTCATATTGATGATTAATTGTTCCTTTACAATAGGCAGGGTGGGAAAGATACTCTAAAATGCATCAGACTATTAGTATTATGCAAATTAATATTTTATAATGTTGTAACCATTTAACTGTCTCTGCGCCTATTGAATATAGCAGAAATTATAATTTGGGATGCTAGATGAAATTAGATTGCAATGTTAACTAACTTAATTGTAGTATGACCAAAACATGCATAAAATGGCAGCCAGACTCTATTTTTTATGATGAAAGCGAAGAGGAAATGAAGAAATCTAAAAATGAGATTTTTTTTAGCCACAAAATAGTATGTCTAGAAAAATTTAAAAGAAAATTCAAAAGTAGCTTGCATTTTTGATACAAATTGTCTAGGATAAGCTCTAAGTGGAAAGGAGAAAAAGCTGGCTCTGAAACTCTTTGTAAGCAGAAAACTTGTCTTCCTGGATCATGGAAAATGATAGAAAAAATACAAAAGATATTTAAATAATGAAATAACTAAGAAAGAAACACAGGATACCCAATGAAGACATGATTCTAAGAGGAAATGAGGAGAGTGTACTCATATGTTCATATTTACAATCTTTCTGATTTCTTAGCACATGGTACATCATTCCAATGATTAAGTAGAGTTCATCCTCATGATATTCAGAGATTGTTTTAGGTAAAACATATTTGAATTGTAACAACATATGTAATTTTGTTTTGTTTTGTCTTGGGATAAGACATTTTAAAGCCTAGCTCTTCTCTATATTTTTTTTAAAAAAAGCAATAAGGAATAGCATATCCAGACAATTTCAGACCTTACCTATCAAAGGGTGGCTTTCACTGAGTGGTTATATGGGGATTATCTACTTTTGGAGGAATGTAATACAGACACATATTTTGATAAGAGGCAACAGGAAGGAGAAATCTTGAATCTGAACATGCAAAAAGATGTTGAGATTTGTTTGAGATCAGTGCCAAGTCCCTGAGTCCAGTAGGCAGAATGAGAGTATTAATGTGTCTGGAGACAGCAGTGGGAAGACAGGAGCAAAGATAAACTATTTTACCATATAATCTGTAAAGAATAAGACATTTCACATAAACAATTTTTACAATGTGTAATTTGAAACCTCAAACAGGTGTTTTTCCTGAAGTGTAAATTTGAGTCTGTATAATAGAATTTGATCACTTCTTCACAAATTGGGGCATCATTTTTCAATCTGCTTTTTACAAACCCCAGTGTTCCAAAAGATATTAATAGATCACCCTAAGAAAACATAGCTTCAAGGTGAAATGGCTTGAAGAAATATTGCACATGCCGTTTTTCTCTTGGAGTATAGCAATGCTTAATTGGACTCTCTGAAGTATGGCAGAAAGGAAATTTGCTGCACTTTATTTAACTTAATATTTTAAAAATACATTTGATAATAAACCTCATTTTTTGTGGAAGCCATTTTGGAAGATATTAATTTTATAAGGAGTACAGTTTGAGAGATGACTTTAAAAGCATCATAATTAATAATTGCCTATGTAGTGCCTCCCAAACTTTATTACACATATGACTCTTTCAGGGAACCAGCTAAAATGCATATTCAGATTCAGTGTTTGTCTGAGGAAGAGAGGAGAGACTGCATTTCATTTTTTTCTTTTTTTTTTTTTTTTTTTTTGAGACGGAGTCTCGCTCTGTCACCAGGCTGGAGTGCAGTGGCACCATCTCGGCTCACTGCAATCTCTGCCTCCCGGGTTCAAGTGATTCTCCTGCCTCAGCCTCCTGAGTAGCTGGAACTACAGGCGCACACCACCACGCCCAGCTAATTTTTGTATTTCTAGTAGAGGCAGGGTTTCACCATCTTGGCCAGGATGGTCTCGATCTCTTGACCTTGTGATCCATCTGCCTCAGCCTCCCAAAGTGCCGGGATTACAGGCATGAGCTACTGCACCCGGACGAGACTGCATTTCTAACCAGTTGCCATGTGATGCATAGGCTGCTGGTCCAGAACCCACACCTTGAGCTGACCAGCTCTGTTTCTTTTTGACTCGTCAGTATCACAGAGATTATTGAGATTTAAATAGATATACATTTTGACCTTAGTGGCTTCAGCTGTTTAGGCTGATAGTGTGAAACACATCATTAGAGTGGAAATCTACTTCAGCTTTGCCTGGCATCAGGATAACAAAGTGAAGGTAAGACAAAAGCCAGAGCCCCTCTCATATAAAAATTAACAAGAGTGAGAGAAGAAGAATCTGTTCCACAACTTTCTGGACCACCCTCTAGACCAGACATATGAAGGGGTCAGATGTGGAAAGAGAACATTGATGGCAGGACTCTTTTTTTAGAGAGCTGATGCATAAGTCCCTAGTTTTTATTTGAGGTAGGAGTGAGGGAATGCTTTTATAGTTCCAAACCTAGTGAGAGCAAATAAAGTGCAAATGATCAATTTTGAAATATATTCCCTGAGGGTGAGAGACACAGAGGGCTTGTGCCACATTCATTCTTGGGAACACTAAAACAGAATGTGTATTAGGTCTGATCCATGCTTGGACTTATGCATAAGTGACATCCCATTAAAATTGGCCTGCACTCCTGAAATCTAATAGTGTTAGAGATATGTGAGTATCTCCCATAGACCTGTCATGGAATGCATGGGAGAGAAAAGCAAACAAGACTGCTTTGGGTTATGTCCACTAAGGTTGCCTGTAGTGTGCCCGGGGTTGGTTCCTTCTGGTGGGTTCTTGGTCTCACCGACTTCAAGAATGAAGCCATGGACCTTCGCAGTGAGTGTTACAGCTCTTAAAGGTGGCACAGACCCAAAGAGTGAGCAGCGGCAAGATTTATTGTGAAGAGCGAAAGAACAAAGTGTCCACAGCGTGGAAGGGAACCCGAGCGGGTTGCTGCCACTGGCTAGGGTGGCCAGCTTTTATTTCCTTATTTGTCCCCGCCCATGTCCTGCTGGTTGGTCCATTTTACAGAGCACTGATTGGTCCATTTTACAGAGTGTTGATTGGTTCATTTACAATCCTTTAGCTAGGCACAGAGTGCTGATTGGTGAGTTTTTACAGAGTGCTGATTGGTGCATTTACAATCCTTTAGCTAGACACAGAGTGCTGATTGGTGAGTTTTTATAATCTTCCAGCTAGACAGAAAAGTTTTCCAAGTCCCCACTTGAGCCAGGAAGTCCAGCTGGCTTCACCTCTCAGTAGGACAGAGACATCAGTAGAAAGAGCCAAGTTATACAGCAAGAGATTCTCAGAGGTGAGGAAGTTGCAAAGGACACCCCAAAGGGACACAGATGGCTCTACCTGAGTCAAGGGAACTGTAGGAAGAAAGAGCCCTGTAGGAACCCTCAAGGGTCCCGAAAAGCAAAAGATACCACCTTCTCTCCTAAACACCCCTCCTAGGTTTCCAGCTTAAAGCAGGTCTGGAAGAGGAAACAGAATTTTACTGTAAATCATGTTTGTTCGTTTTTATTATGATGATCTTGGACTGGACAACCGGTTTCTGAGTTTAAATTTAAACTGTACTTAAATTTAAACTTGTACTTAAAATGACTGTAGGACTCAATTACCTAAAACTCAACACAGAAGCTGTGGTTGTTTCCCAGTCCATTCAGGAACATGTGAAAATGAGGCCTGCTGAATAAAGTTTCAATTCAGGAATGGTGGAAGAGGGAACTAAGTTATATTTTGCTTATGTTAGGCGTCAGGCATGTTCAGCACATCAGTCACAGAAGATTCATACATATCAGTTATCTCCCACCGACGTCAAAGTTGACCTCTCTCTGTGACCAGTGTCTGTGCTCTTCACCTTTCGTCTGCTGTTTCTAGTCAGCAGAGGGTCTGAGCACAAACGTTTGGGCCCATGAAGGTACTGAGCCGAGGCAAGAACTCTTCTCCCTTGCATAAAACGTTGGAATTTCAACCCAGAGAATTTATCTTTGTCTGCAAGATTTTTTATTTCTTTTTTTCTCTCTCTTCCGTTTTAGATTTTGGTTTGGGTCGTCTTTCTTTCTCTTCCTATATTTGTTTTTTGAAATGTTACTTAGATTGTTTTTATTATTATTTTGAAAATTTTATATACAGATATATGAAAATATGTACAAAATACATTGCTATACGTTAATGTATAGCAATAAAGAAGTTGTATATTACTTTGATATGTGTTCATTGCCTTATGGAATTAAAAAATAGATTTCATGGCCGGGCGCGGTGGTTTACACCTGTAATCCAGCACTTTGGGAGGCCGAGGTGGGCGGATCACCTGAGGTCAGGAGATTGAGACCAGCCTGGCCAACATGGTGAAACCCCGTCTCTACTAAAAATACAAAAAAATTAGCCGGTTGTGGTGGGAGGCGCCTGTAATCCCAGCTCCTCGGGAGGCTGAGACAGGAGAATCACTTGAACCCGGGAGGCAGAGGTTGCGATGAGCTGAGATCGCGCCACTGCACTCCAGCCTGGGCAAGAAGAGTGAAATTCCATTTCAAATAAATAAATAAATAAATAAATAAATAAATAAATAAATAAGATTTCACTTATAGAGGCAGGAATGGAGAAGACAATATAATAGACATCTTAAATATAATAAATTACTTTGGAGGGGTGTGTGTGTGTGTGTGTGTGTGTGTGTGTGTGTGTAGGCTCAAATGCTGAATGAATTCTGACTTTGTTTATTAAGCACACACACACACAAAATAAACAGAGATACAGGACAAAGACATACTTTTGATTCTTCTAAAAAAAAGTTATATTCTTGTTTTTCATAGCCTGACAAAAGACAAGGCAGCTTTTGTCTCTGAAACTCTCACTTCTTCATGACTTGAAATAGTGTGCATTCTTTCTGATTACCCTTAATATCAGCAAGCATTTATTGATCATTTACTGTGAATCAGAAATTGTTCTGAGTATTTTATGTATATTAATTTACTTAGAACTCATGCCTCCCAAATTTCTGATGCAGGCATTCTTAAATGCAATTTATATGAATAAAATGAAGCTTACAGGATGTCAATGAGCCCAAGTTATAACCCACATTATAGAGACTAGTGAAACCAGACTTTGAACCCAGTGAGTTACACAACAAGACCTGCACACTTGACAAAGTAGAATATAAATATTTGCTATCTGCAAGGAGTTGACATTGTCTGACAAGTGAAATATAATTTTTGTGAGGCTGTTTTTCTCTATTTGCAGTACTATTGCAAAGATCATGCTGCAGTTCTTCCCTTGCCAGTTATTTACAGTACTGCTATTTAACATCACCTCAATAGATAACATTGAACTATACAAAATCCCCAGGATTAAAGGAAAATATGCTTTGACTTTATTTCTAATTCTTTTTGGAGAATAAAAATGTGAACTATTCTGAGTTTTATGGGTATCCCATATATGTACATAAAGTTAATTTTCTGTCTCAAGAGTAACAGAGATATAAAAAGGCCAATCACAATTTTATGAATAGGAAATATAAGATCTGGGGATTTGATTTCTCTATTGTTGTATTCTAAATAACAGCACTATTTCTAGGGAATACTTACATCCTTCCTGACACAGAACAACTAGCAACTTTCATTAGAGAAAAGTCAAACCAGATGCAGTGTGAGTCCCTATATGTTGCAAGTAATGTTAAAATAGATTCCAAACTGGTGTCTTGTTTTGATGAAAACTCTGAAGACAATTTGGAGGCTGTTTGTCAGACTCTAGAGACTGAGGCACAGATGGAGTTCTGAATTAAGTGACTTTGTATTTTGAGATTTGAAATGAGCTCTAGTCCCAATTGTATATTTCAGTGATTATGGGCTAATTGGATGTGGTAATTGATTATTAAAGGATTTATACTCTTAAATGTTTAAGGTTTATTAATTATAAATTCAAAATTGCTAACAAAATTCAAGATGTAAACTTTATCAATTTATGTAGAATTGTGTGAACCATGTTTTGCTTTGTTTGGTAACACAATATTTTTCTTTTGAGGATTTTCTATAAAGCCAAATAGAAGTCCTTGAGATCTCAAAAGTTTAAATATTTTAACTTTTCTAATATGTAAAGCAACAACATTTACTGCCTATTTTCCAATCATACCAAACAATTTTGAGTTGAAATGCTTGTTTCCTTCCCATAGGGGAAGAACCCTGAATTTATAAACTAAACACCTTGCATGTCTTTTGCATAAATTAAGATAAAGTAAGCATATTTAATTTATCATTGGGTGTTTGTGTATATTTCTAAAATCTTAAAGTAGATTAAATAATATGCTTCAGAAAGGAATTATGTATCTGTGATGCATCATTTTCAAAGCATCGTTTGCATGACTTCAATCAATATTATTACTTTAAAATCAGAGCATTTCTGAATCCCAGATGCAATAGTTTAATAGCATTATTGTAGTTCACTGTTTTTACTGTACCATTAGTTTAAATTTTTTTCTAAATGATTTATTGATTTATGTTAGCTATCATTAAAAATAATCATAAACTTCTTTTAAATGTTTAATAGTTTGTTTCCTATTGCTCCCATACCCAACTACTATAAATTTAGTGGCTTAATATATTATCTTATAGTTCTGCGGGTCAGAAGTCTGAAATGGATCTTATGGGGCTAAAATGAAAGGTTGTCTTCCTTCTGTAGGCTCCAGAATCTCTTCCCTGCCTTATTCAGCTGCTAGCAACTGCCTGCTTTCCTCGGCTCCTGACCTCATCATTCAGAACTCTGTTTCCATCATCTCAACCCCTTCTCTTTTATACTTTTGCATTTTTCTTTCATTTATTAAGACCTCCGGGATTACACTGGGCTCACCCTGATAATCCAGGTTAATCTCCTCATCTCAAAATCCTTAATTTAATCACAACCACAAAGTCCCTTTTGCCATGTGAGGTAACATACTCACAGGTTTTGGAGATTTGAATGTGAAAATCTTTGGGGGAGGGGGAGCATGACTCTGTTTACCACAATCGTGTTTCTTTTTCCATTTATATCATTTGTAGTATAAATTTTTACCTGTATATTTGGAAGAAAATATTCTGTACCAAGGGTAATGAGAATTAATATTTTCTTCAATGTCTTTTTTCTGTAACTACATCACACTAACATATTTTTTAAATGGGAAATAAAAGGTGGTGATCCAATGCCATACAAATTAAATTGGAATAACTCAGTGTGTACATTTTGGGTTGTTTGTTTTTGTTTGCTTATTTCTTTGTTTCATTTTTATAGGTTTATATAGTTGTCAAGACATAAAGGAAAGCAATATAATATGCTACATTATTTTTCTGAAATAATGACACTGTTATCAAGTTCATATCCTCTCTCCAACCCAGATAAGGAGGAAAATATCAATTCAAATATCATAAAACAGTCTCTAGTTTGATTAACCTCAGTTACCTAATAGAAACAGATGCTTTTGCTAAATACCCTGTAAAGACCTCTTACTCCCTCCTGTAATTGATTAAAAATTGACCATGAATTCTTTCCCATGCCTCTCATTGAGAGGTGGGGTCCATTGCCCCTTCCCTGGAATCTGGACTGGCTTTATGACTGGCTTTTTCAAATAAAATGGAGTGCAATAGAAATGATGCCAATTGATTCCATATCTGGATGGCAATAGATTTGTGACTTCCTCTTTCTCCCTCATAGAAGCCATCTACCATGTAAGAAGTCCAATTCTTTTGACAGCTCCAGGAAGAGAGGAAGCTCAAGGTAGCCAAACTGAGAGAGGCCATATGAAGTGACAGAAATGTGGAAAACAAAAAAACAAAAAACAAAAAACAAACAAAAAACACAAAGACTTCTTAAAGCTTCCAGCCTAAAACAGACCGGAATGCCAGAATACCAAATCCAGCTAAGCCTTGCCCAAATTCCTAACCTGCAGAATCAAGAAAAACTAAAATGGTTGTTGTTTAAAACCCCTAAGTTCAGGGGTAACTTGTTACTCAGCAGTAGATAAGCAAATACTCTTTCTCTCTTTAGTACATTGAATTTAGTAATGTGCTCCAAGCCTCTTGCTTTTTTGTGATGCATCCAGAAGTAGGTTTCAATTTTTTTTAATCTATTTTGAAATGTCAATATGATACAGCATCTCCCTATGGCACAGGGCTATTTCTGTATCTAGACATGTATCTCATCATAGCCTGCTGAAAGCTCTAAGTTGGTTTGTTTAACATGGATCCAGAATGATGGTATAATGGTTTGAATTTTATTTTTTATCTGGAGGCTAATAGTACCCTTACAAGATATGAAATATGGTTGAAGACTTACAGCTCCCAATAACAACCTTCGTATTTTTAAAACAAATTTTGTACTCTTTATATCTAACCTGTAAAGCAGATTGTTTTATTGGGGTACAGAGGAAAAGAGAAAAAAAAAAGCATTGTATAGCTGTCTCATTCCTTTCCTACACCTCTGAAGTTGCAGGTTAGTTCTGGACGGAGGCCTGTAGTCTCATAGGTCCTTTTGAGAGGGGAAAATGGCAGACATAATTGAATGGGATCTCATTGACTCCATCCCAGTCTTCTGACTATGAATTCCAGAGACACATGAAGAAGATTGAATCTCAGTTGAGTCCTCTGGGATGATTAGAAGACAACCACTGTTGTGGTTCCAACAGCTAAATTAACAGAGGGTCTTTAGATTTTTTAAAAAATATATTTTTAATTTTTATTTTTTTGTAGAGATGGTCTCACTGTGTTGCCCATGCTGGTCTTGAATTTCTAGTCTCAAGCGATCCACTTGCCTTGGCCTCCCGTAGTGGTGGAATTAGAAGTGTAAGCCACTGTGTGTGGCCAGAATTTTTTAAAATCAATAAACTTTATTTTAGTAGCATTTTTAGTTTGAGAGCAAAATTGTGTGGAACATACAGAGAGTTTCCATACAGCCCATCCCTGCACATGCACAACCTTGCTCACTATCAACATCCCACACCAGAGTGGTACATTTTTTAACCAACATTTACATTTTAAATCTACGTTGACTCACTGTTATCACTCAAAGTCTGTAGTTTACATTAGAATTGGGTATTTATTTACTTATTTATTTATTTTTTTGAGATGGAGTGTGGTGGTGCGATCTTAGCTCACTGCAACCACCACCTCCTCGGTTCAAGCAATTCTCCCTGCCTCAGCCTCCCATGTAGCTGGGATTACAGGTGCCCGCCACCACAGCCAGCTAATTTTTGAATTTTTAGTAGAGATGGGGTTTTGCCAGGTTGCCCAAGCTGGTCTTGAGCTCCTGACCTCAGGTGATCCACCCTCCTCAGCCTCCCAAAGTGCTGGGATTACTGGCGTGAACCACCGCCCTTGGCCAGAATTGGGTCTTTAGATTTATTTCCTTACACAAAGATTGGAGCAAATGTTAAGGTCTTTCATCCCAATTAGACAACCATTGACTCTGAGCCTTTGCAATTGTTTTGCGCTGTATCATGGTTTTCTAATTATCTTACCTCTCTTCATTTTTGCTCATAAAAAACTTGAATTACCTTGCTCTGTTCTCATAAAACTGTACATTTTATCTAAGAAGACTTGACCATTAGGATATGTGGTTGTTACTGAACTGTACTGTATACTGCTTTTTCCTGTGCAGATTTAGGGAGTAATCACAGAGGGGTTATTTATTACTTGGCTGTAGCTGCTCAGAATATGTTCATATCTATATCATCTTAAAATGTCTTAGATGAGAAGACCACAAATAGTCTCAACAATGCAGCACACATCTGGAGGGTAATTACCCATTATATAGAAGTAACAAAATTTCTCAAACAAATTTGCACAAATAAACAAAAAGATTCAGAGTCATTGCAGAAAGATCATCAGTGCTGTTAGCACTTGGCCAAGAAATAGATATTCATTGTTGAATATCAATGAATATATATCAGTATCAATCCTGCTGCCCAAAGGCAACCATTATTTATGTTAAAGACATACATATAGCCATCTCTTCTTATATATACCTATACCCTAGAATTATTTTATATAAAATAGAATATACTAGATATGCTTTTGTGTATAATCTTTTAAATTCACTCAATAGTATATTATTGAGATCTTTCCATGTCAATACCTGATGTCATTTATAATGACGGTAGGATAGTTTTCCTTTATAAGTATGTACCTTTATTTAGCCAAGATTGACTTTTAAGATGTTTCCATATTTCATTACTATAAATAGTATTTAGAAAACTTCATCCTAATTGTGATTTGTTTACCACTGCAGCCAGATATAAAATACGTTTTCTTAGCTGGGAGACTCACTTTTGCATAGAGGTATAAGTATAAGTATATTTTTAGGTGAAGTTCACATAAGTTAACCATCCTTTCCTTGGGGTTGCGCTGCTGTCCAACGAGTGCATAATGAGGGCTGTACTGCTAATGCCTACGTAACATGCCCACATCAACTAGAGGTTTGCTTTACGTTGGTGCAATTATTTTAAAAAATAAAAAAAAAACACTTTAAAAAATATTTTTAAAGTTCACTTAAGTTGCTCATTTTATAAAATGGAGTTTTTCATATTTATGTTGGATTTCATTACTTTATTAATATTATAAATACATTTGATATAGAGTGCTGATATGATTTTTTTCAGGTCTAATGTGTATTCTTCATTTTTGTTATTTATTGCTCTTTAAAAGCATCAAAGTCCTATACAAAGAAGCTTGCGGTAGTATAATGAGAAAATGGGTGGAAATTATGTAGATATAAATACATGAATTATTGATTAAAATGTAGTTATTGTAGTAATAGTAGATGCCTTTTGTATTGAATATAATTCATTCTACCTTTGAAATTTGAAATACAAATTAAAAATATTTTAACTTATCCAAAAATTATTTCATTTATTTTTCCTCATATAACCATATACAGTACAAAAATGAAGGACTTTTTAAAATTCGATTTCCCATTATTTCACCTTTTTGCCTCTTGATAATCTAAGAGGAATCTCAGAGAAACGTATGTTGGTATTCTTCTAAAATCTCTTTAAGCATAAGTTAATTAGGGCTCTCATCAACAGCAAAACAAGATATAGAATTCTCAGAGTTCTTTCTTACTTGATAATGACACAGAAAACAGAAGACATATATCAAAATAACTTGCTAATACGGCTATGAAATAGCTATCCAGGATAGTAGGTCTATGTAGTTTTATTGTGAATGAACGGAAGTCATTCACCTTTATATCGAATAAAAAGGTGAAGTGTAATTACATACAATGCTTGTCAAATTGCTGTTGTCAATTTTGAAAAAGGAATTACAATTGAGAATAGAAATTATTAAAGAAAACAGAAAGAGATATCATTACCTTAATACAGCCTAAGTTGTCACCAACCCTACTTAATTATTCAGCATATTCTGAAAACCTTTAGGAAATCCATCATGTTTAGCCTGTTCTTTGCAGCTATCCGTAGGCAATAGAAGCAAACCACAAACTTGAGGCTACTTGTGTTTAAATTCTAAGACAATGACTGCAAAACATTAAAGACACATCAGTTCCTCCCCAGGAATTACTTTTGGATTTGGAGTATGGTGGTTTGTATAGACCCCTCTTTGTAACCTGGGTGCTGTTAGATAATACATAGCACTTTATTGTTAATAGAAAATGGCAGAACCTATTGCTTTAGGGATAGGTTTTCTCTTGGAAATGAGTGGCAAATCACAATTACATAAACCAAGAGATGATATAACGTATCTATAGGTTGCATAATAATAATCATGGCAAGAGAAACCTATTGCATTTGCAAGATTAGAGCTAATTGGTTTTGCAGAGTGCAATAAATCAGTTTTGAAAATGCCAAGTCAAATCAGGTGTGCTATGCTATTAACTAATATGTGGTTTACAACAAAACTAGAAATTGAGTTATAGAATTTGTTTTAGACAGCTTTATTTGCAAAGCACGTGAAAATGCTAAGAAATTTAGTGCATTTACATAGGCAGCCATCTTATTCAGTGATAGGAAAGAAGAATTCAAACAGTATGAAAAAGTAATGCCGTTTCTATTTTATGGGAACGAAATTATTGAAATCAAGTTTTAAAAGTTAATAATAATTCCCATAAGGGATTATACTTTAAATATTATCTAGAAATATTAAATAGAAACATAATTTACTCATGGGCATGCAGTATATTCTGCTGTAAATGGACTCTATGAACACAGAACAGTCATGCTGTCTTGGGGAATGGAAGACATTGGCTGTGTCCATGAAGATATGTTTGTTCCCTGAAGTTTCATTTTTCTATAGCTATCTCTTAGGATCCATTACTAAAACTGAAAGAATGAGCCAGCAAATAAGTCTGTGGGCCTCATCCATTTCCATTTATTTCCATATTTTGATATGCTGCATATTTAATAAGGAAAAAAGTTTTTCTTAAGAAAATAAAACTGTAGGCTATAAGATCTTTTTCATCCCTACTATTCTATTTTGCTAAGAATAGCAATAATTTACCACTCTGTTTAACTAACATGTTTTCAAGTAATGACATCCATTAAACAATGCTTGTTTTCTTGTTAAGAAAATATAGACTTTCCAAGCTTTCTTATTTTTAAAAGATCAAGTAATGATGTCAAAGAAAGAAAAAGATTAAGGTGATTAGGAAAGGAACCACTATTAATTTTGCTTGATTTTTTTGGGGGGAATTAGACTGTCATCATTCCATATGTCATTTTGTTATTAGCTAATAACTACTGATTATATAACTATTGATAAGGTGATAAAGGATAGATTTTCATCTATAAAAGACATATTAATATACTTTATATAAATTATTTAGATTGCTTCCTAAGAAATACTGTTCTTACATTCATTTGCATTGGTTTATTCTGTTTCCAAGTTTATATTTGGTTACTTAAAGCTAACATTGTGAGATTTTCCAAACACTGCTAAAAATAAATCAGAGTGTTTCCTTTACACAAAGTTTGGCTATTAGTGGATGTTGTCATCTTTTATGTAGTAACAAGAAATTTTCCTAATCTCGTAAAATAGCTACTACTATAGAAAGTTCAAGTTTTATTCTAATGAAACTATTATTATCTAAGATATTTCCCTTGAATTTGACATGTGTATCTGAACATTAATTGAATATGCATAATGGCAGTAAATGTGTGGGTGAATTTGGTTTTGTAAAATAGTAAAATAAACTTTTGGGTTTGGGGAATAATGTGGACTATCTAGGTGCATATTAATGTTTTTATAATCAGGTAGTAAGTCTCAAATGCTATAATGGTTTGTGATCTAATTCCGATCTCATGTTCCAAGGAAAATTAAAATATTTTCCTTTTATTCCTTATTGTTTAAGAACAATTTATATGCAGTGTAACATTCAGCAAACATTTATTGAGCACCTAGTGGGAGCCCCTAATTGCTGGAGATACAGTTATGAGTCAGATCAAATCACTGCCCTTGAAGTTTGGGGAGGAAGACAAGAAAAATGATTTTTCGTAAGGGCTTTTTAATATATAGATCTGCATATGAAGGAGAGATAGTAAAAGAGTGGTCTGTTCTACTTTCAGAAGCAAATCAGGAAAGACTCTGCAGGAGATATATTCTTGACTTGCTCCTCCTTACCAAATGGAAAGTAACACTGACTTAAACAGAATACACCAAATTTGCATTGTTATTCAGATCCTAGCAACCTGGCACCAACAGCTAATAAAATAAAATTTCAGGTTAGGTTTATGGGTGAATATCATGAAACCAAGTCCCATAAATCAGATAATCATGAGATTCACTGCATTTCCAAGACCAGCTGGGTTTACATCATTATTAATAATCATGATTAATACTCTTACTTTTATTTCTTACTAACTTAAAATGTCATGGTGAAGTATTTTTTGAAATCTCAGAGTATAATAGGTCCCACTAAGGAAAATGACAAACTGATTGTCCAAATCAAAATCACTCTGGGCCTACTGAGAATGGTATGGTAAGGATAAAAATGAGAGTGAAACCTTCTGAGAAAGTATTTGCTCATTATTAATGAAGGAAATATGTATTATCTACTCCTACCATGCTTTGGGCCCAAGAAATAAATTACTGAAAAAATAAACCAAGAGAGGGTTTTGAAAATTAACACTGCAGCAGATTTAAAATAAATAAATAAATAAGAACTTAAAGCTGAAATTTGAAGGTGAGATCAAAATCAGGTGGTTCTCTTTTGAGCTATAATGAGCCATAAAAAGGAGTTTTCCTGACTAGTAAGCTAAAATGCTTAATGATATGACATGAAGGAGTTTCGGGTACCATAAATGTTAGCATAAAAAGTTTAATACTTTAGAGTTCATGTAAAGGCATTATTAATGAAAAATGATGCTCTTAGGAATTCCATGTATTAATAAATTGCTTGAAATAAATGGCATCTATAATTTTTCATTTACCTGAAAGTTTTTAATGTTTTTATTATTTACAAGTGACACTTTTGTTCAAATTGTGATTGTTTTAGGTACATAATTAAATGAACAAATTTGGCTGAGAGAGAGAGAGAGCTGCCATTTTTAAACCAGAAGAAGCATGCTCCAGCTTTGGAATAAATATAGCTAAGAGTTCTTTATCACCATTTAATGTCTCAAATTTCTAAGTATAGGGACATAGACACAAAGGTTTTACAAAACTACTTCAGCAGTGCTAGAGTAAAACATGTAGCTCTATTTATAGCCAAAAGTTTCACTGATGCCATTTTGCCACTTGTAATATATTAGGCTATTAATAAGAAACTTATAAGATAGCCTGAGATCATTTCTCACTCTAAATAGTGTTTTTCAAATGTAAGTGCATATAAGCCACCTGAGAGTTTTAAAAATTACCAATATCTGGGTCGCCCCCTAGAGTTTCTGATGTAATTGGTCTGGGGTACAGGCTGGACATTTGGATAGTGCAACCAAGGTTGACAAGCGCTGTTACAAAGAAACTTGAAACAGGAGAAGCTTAGAGATTTTAAAACCTCAGAGGCGGCCTGGCGCGGTGGCTCACGCCTGTAATCCCAGCACTTTGGGAGGCCCAAGCGGGTGGATCACAAGGGCAGGGTTTCGAGACCAGCCTGACCAACATGGTGAAACCCCATCTCTACTAAAAATACAAAAATTAGCTAGGCGTGGTGGGGGGGCGCCTGTAATCCCAGCTACTCAGGAGGCTGAGGCAGGAGAATTGCTTGAACCTGGGAGGCAGAGGTTGCAGTGAGCCAAGATCGCGCCATTGCACTCCAGCCTGGGCGACAGAGCGAGACTCCGTCTCAAAAAAAAAAAACAAAACAAAACTCAGAGGCAACTGAGTTGCAATAATTATGACAAAATAAATGATGCATACTACTCAAAGATAGAACATATCAGGTAGAGAAGATACCTAGAGGAGTGTTTCTTCAAATACGTGTTTACCACCGATTTAAATAATCCTTTTTTTATGCAGAGAGCATGAAAACAACAATTAAAGTAATTCCTATGAATACAACAATCAGCATAATTCTCAATAAAACCAATTGTATTAATCATAATTTTGGTTCTGAAAATTTTGATAATGCAGAAAGAAGCTCTCAGATCAGTGTTCTTAAAAATCAAGATAGCAGTTTGAGAGCACCTGAAAGGTCAGTTAAATTCGATCAAATTCTCTTTGATATGTGGCTGGGATCATTCACTTTTGCTCTACTTTTTAAAAATGTATTAACCAAATAGTTATGAGTCTATCTATCAAGTGTTCAAATTATTTTACATGTAATCTCCAATCTCCAGAAAATAAATGAGACTACAACAAATTTACCCCAATTTCTGCAGAGAGCATAAATAATTGCTTTCAAGGGATGCTTGAATGAAATTACTTCCCTGACTGCAGGGGTTGGGGCTTGGTGAAGATTTGTCCTTTGTGAGTAATGAGAAGAGTATACTTGGATATAAAAATAGTAAAGAAATAATTGGTTTTTTAAAAACCCTAAATTCCATGTTTAGCAAAGTTAATGAGTCCCTAAATTCCTAAAGCTGAATATTAGTGTGTAAATGAGTACTCTAAACCAATAGAGAATTAACTTAAAATTCATGGCTATTTAGCTAAAACTTCATATGTTCTTATCATTCTGTGTCTCCTAGTTTTAGATCGAACGGATGTTTTGACTCCTAAAAGACTCAAAATTTCTGACAATGCCCTTTATTAATAAGTTGCATTTTGAAAAATCATTTAAGCAAAAATTAAATTTACATTTTCAAAATTGCATGTTAGGTTAATTTACCAAATCCTTTATCTATTTTGTGTTTCCAGTCATCCAGTTTTGTTTGTGATATTTAAATATTCAAAAATATTTGTTGAAATTACAAATTTTATTAATTGATTTTTGAGGGGACTAGGGTAGGTTACTTTTTATTTAAGTTCCATGGTGTTTTGCATATTCAAATAATTATATTGTGAATAGCCTGAAAGACAGTAGCTATATGATCATTTGAGATAATGGTAACAATATTCAACTGTTGAAAAGATATTATTTTAAGTATGAGCTAAGGAGATTGTACTTTATGTAACTAGGAGATGATTAGAAAATCTGTTTTAACAGCATGATTAAATTGGGAATTCTTTTTTTGAAGTTTTGTAAAAGGGAGGCAGAAGTTTAAGGAAAAATGTTGGTTAGGTAAACTTGGATAGTTTTAGATCTATTAGCGACAGAATACTCAAGCTCTTGAAAATAGGAAAAGTTGCTCTCCTCATGCTAAAGGACAAGGGCTGCCATAAGCTAATCACTGTATCTTTACTCAGATCCTATAAAGTGATTTATACAGAGAAGGGATTCAGTAAATCTTTACTAAATGAATTTTAGATGATGGAATGGACCATTGTGGCTGAAGGAGAGAGTAGTGAAAATGGGGATATTAGGAAAGGAAGTAGATGATTTGCTCAGATTTTGTTAAATTAGGTTTTGATAGAACAAACCTGAAAAAAAAAAAAAGAAAAAAAACAGCCTGCATGACTTCTTAAAGTCCTCAGCTCTTAATAGTGTTCCAATGGCAATTAACTTTCACGTGAGTTTTGAAGGGAACATTAAAACCATAGCAAAGCGCACATTATATTCGTTGTTTCTGTGTAGTGCTGCTTCTTTACCAGGCAAATAAATCCTGGTAGACGTGCAAGAGCTTGCTCCTAATACAAAATAAACAAAATGTGTTTTACTGAGAAAATTGCAGACATATCAAAGGGTAATTTGACAGCAAGGGTATAGAATACTATCAAGATATTTTCTTCTATTTTACATACATGTGTAATTCTTGCTTGAATGCAAGAGGGCTGAATACCAGCCTTATTTAATATATTTTGTGTCAACTTCTGTATACAGATTTTTTTTCTTGAGGTGAGAGGAGAGGAAAGAGGAGAACATTAATTCCAGATAGCTTTAAGCAAATGTTAGAAAGGTGAACATTTATAGGCTTCCAAATATCTTTTGGCTAGCTGACATTTACAAACACTGAGCTAGGTAAGCTTTTTCCCCTAGCAATATTAAGGCTGTAGCCGCAAGTAAAGGATATATGAAGTGAAATATGCCATTCAAACATAGTAAAGAAGAAGACTGTTTGTAACCACTGTTGCTGAAAATCATGAGAACAAAGTCTTTCTTGTTATTTTAAACATCCTATAAAAGCATTGCAAAAGTTTATGTAGCTGGTTAAAATATTTGGGACTATTTGCTCCGTTTCCACACCTCATGATAAGGTCCAGGCATTTGTTGAGAGTGAAATTGCCCATTTAAATGAAGGAACAATATGTTTTAAATTACTTAGAGTACTCTGTTGAAACTTAATGAGAACAGAAGGCAGTGTTAATAAGAAAAATAGTAGTTACAAAGATTGCTTAAGAATGCAAGCTGGGTACCAACTAATTGTAATTCTTTAATTCTGGTATGCGTGCAACATCCCTTGTGTATGCAAACAAAATGTGTATTTCCAAGCTGTATGTTTTAGGATCAGAGAATTTCAACCAAATATTAAATTCTCAAATAGTATGCAAACAGGTGTCAATCATCACTTTAACATGACAGCTGGAGGAAAAAATTCCAAGCAACATGTGTAGGTAATTGTGGTTAATATTTATCTGTACATAGGAAGATATTTCAGGGATGTGTAAGTATGCAAATAACTCTTGGATTTCTAATTACTGTATTTATCAAGTTGTATATGCTGTCTAAATTCAGAAATGAAAGCAATTTTAAAATAGCATGCATATAATAAAGGCAATAATCTGCCCTTCTCTCTGTCTCTGCCTGTGTCTCCATCTCACACATGTATCTGTGTATGTGTCTATATACCCTCACTTGTGAACATATATTCATAACCACATGTATAAACACACAGTATAAAAGCACATATAAGGACATATACCAAAATATTATCAGTAGTTAATTTTAAGACAAGCATGATGGGTCATTTTAATTTTCTACTTTTTACATGTCTGTTTTGATTGCAACTCTAAAAATAAGCCTGTATTACTTTGTAAAGGGAAAGGGAGAGAGGGAGAGAGAAAGATTTGCCTGTTTTGGAAAATTTTTTTAAAGGAACACCACAGGAAATTAGATCATTCTTAGGTGCCTGCTGTTTATATCTAAAATGGTTTTCAATAATGGGATAGTTCTAATATCAGTAGAGATATCCATTATCACATGTAGATTGAACCTTGTTGTTGCAGGATAGAAATATTTAAAACTGTTTAACTGACTTGAAGAATTGTTCAAGTTTGGAAAATATATTCAAAAAGAAAAACTTTCCAGTTAATTTTATGAAATTAACAAAATATTGATTCTAAATGATATATTTATAAAATTTTATTTTATAATTGGGTATTGGTAGTGTAAGGAAATAAAATAGACTTTTATGTGCTCATATTGTAACCGGTGATCCTGATAGCTATATTTAGTTATTAGTTCTAATATTTTAGTTTAGATTTTCTACGTATGCAATAATGTCATTAGCAAATAATGACCAGTGTAGTTCTTTCTTGCTAATTCTTACAAAAAGTAAGAATTCTCTTACAGTTCTTATTGAACTGACTAGAGAATCTTGTTTCTGATCCCCTAAGGAAAGCTTTCCATATTTCCTTATTAATTATAATATTTTTGTAAGATTTTATGATTATCTTTCATCAGATTAAATATTCCATTCTATTCCTAGTTTGCATATTAAAAAATATTTTCTGTATCCATTGAGATAAGATTTTCTTTCATATTGTTAATATAGTTAATTACAATAATTGATTTTGTGATATTAAAATAATATTTCATTATTGAAAAAACTTAATTTGTTTTTAATTTATTGTACTTTTTAAAATTAAGGTATAATTCATACAACATAATATTTGTCCTTAAAAAGGATGCAACTCAGTGCACAATATAATATTATAAGCATAATATAATATAATATTTCTTTTGTTGCTTGTAATTTGGTGTCATATCTAAGAAACCATTGTTTAATCTAAGGTCATGAAGATTTTGCTTACGTTTTCTTCTATAAGCTTTTTACTTCTAGATCTTACATTTAGGTTTTCATCAACTTTGTGTGTAACATAAGGTCAGAATCCAACTTCGTTTATTTGTATGCATATGTACAGTTGTCCCAACACTATTTGTTGATAAGACTACTATTTCCCTATTGAATTTTCTTGGCATCCTTTCAAAAATCAATTGCTTATAAATATGAGGTTTATTTATTGATGCTCAATATTATTTCATTAAATTTATATGTCTATCTCTATGCTAAAACAAACAACACTGAATTAATATAGTTTGATAGAAAATTTTCTGTTTCAAGATTATTTAGACTGTTTTGGGTACTTTATTATATTAGTTTCCTATTGCTGATGTAACATCTTACTATAAAGTTATGCCTAAAAATATCACAGCTTTATTATCATAATGTGTGCGTGCATGTGTGTGTGTGTGTGTGTGTGTGTGTGTGTGTGTGTGTATTCCTTGGGATTTTCTATATGCATAAATATTTCTCCATATACATCTATATACAAATGCTTTATACCTCATGGCATCTCCATATAGAGATAGTTATATTTCTTTCTTTTTAATCTTGACCCCAGGCTAATATCCAGTTGAATAAAAGGTGGTACTACTATTGAACATGCCATAGAATATTAACTTTGTAAACTGACTTGGAGTCTCCCTGGGTGAATTCTAACCCTCTCATATATAATAATGGCTTCATTTACAAAATGTATAAGATCATGACTATCAAATTATTTCTTCAGCCTTGACTTTTATCCAGAACTGCCAAATCTGGATAGAATTCCCATTTAGGATTCCCACAGGCATGTTCAAAATAGTACTTTCTTTTGCCCGTGAGATTCTGCCTTATGTCTTGAATTTATACTCTAAGTAAATGTTGCAAGCAGAATAAAAGCCCCCAAAGATGGTCATGCTTTAATCCTTGAGACCTGAATATGCTGTATTACCTGACAAAAGAGACTTTGTAGTTGGAATCATGAATCATATTAAAAGGAGGACTGTATATGAGCCCAATCTAATCACTATGAGCCCTTAAAAGCTGAGACCATGCTCCAGTTGATTTCTGAGAGATGGGGCAGGAGGGAAAGGCAGAGATATTTGAAATGTTAGCGCTGCTGGAGAGGGCCACAAATAAAGCATGAGAAGGAACAGAGACAGTCTCTAGGAGCAAAGGCTGGCCCCAGCTGACAGCCAGCAAGGAAATGGGGACTGCGATACTACCTACACAAGGAACTAAGTGTGGCTAACAATCTGAATAAACTTGGAAGCAGACCTTTCCTCAGAGCCTCCAATAAAAAATGCAAGAGTGATGGAGTCATTGCATTACTACCTGAATACAACACACTTTACAAGCTACATAAACTTCATGCTTTCCTCTTTTTATAAAAGTCATCTCCTCTGCCGTGAAAACTCTCCCCATTGTTATTAATCTGCCCGAAAATTTATCTTCATCCTCAAGTGCCTACTCAAATGTTCTATTAAATGAGGTCTTCCCAGATGATCCCAGATAATTAGCACCACTTTTTAAAATTAGATTTCTAGATACTTTCATTACTGTAATCCCCTTTTATAGGAAATTTTTGTTGTTGTATATCTCCTTACTAAACTAACACTTTTTTTATTTTTGAATCTGCATCAATTGTTGAATACATATAGAACACACTAAATATATACAAGCTAATGAAGTAACACATGAATGCATCTCGGACCACTTATCTTAAAACATCCATTTTTTTCTTTCATTCTGTCAAATACTTTTTCTCTGATATCCTATACTTTTGTTACTATTCATTGATTTTATCCTTCTATTTATAGTTATTTTCTTACTGAGGTGCAATAACTTTCTATGTATTGTTTAGTTTATCACATATCTTGCAAAATTTTGTCTGGTTTGCATACTATCTTTTTATTTTATTGTGAAACACATTATAGAACTTTACAGATGAAATGAAATCTGTTGGCCAGGAGTGGTGGCTCACGCCTGTAATCCCAGCACTTTGGGAGGCTGAGGCGGGCGGATCACGAGGTCAGGAGATCAAGACCATCCTGGCCAACATGGTTAAACCCTGTCTCTACTAAAAATACAAAAATTAGCCAGGCGTGGTGGCATGCACCTGTAGTCCCAACTACTCAGGAGGCTGAGGCAGGAGAATTGCTTGAACCTGGGAGGCAGAGGCTGCGGTGAACCAAGATTGTGCCACTACAATCCAATCTGGGCAACAGAGCGAGACTCTGTTGAAAAAAAATTGTCAATTATTTTTTTCTGTAGTCTCCTTTTTAATTTTTTGTTACAAATATTTATTAAAAAGTACAATTCAAAAGTTAGCTGGACAATCATATAGATTCTTCTTGAATTTTAGTTTTTGAATACATTCTTCAAGTTCAGATAAACTATTCATCTATATTTTCTTCCAAAATTTTTTAAAAGCAAAAGATCTCTTGTTCTATAAGCAATTATTTTAAGGTATACATAAAATGGGAATCTAACTTCATTTTGTTCCAAATAGTTAACCAGTTACCCTGGTTCCTGCATTATCTGCTGAGTAAACTTTTCTTATCCCTCTAACTTGAAATACCAAAATATATCATTAAAAAGTCATTTATATGTCAATTCTTCCACTTGTGCAGCCCTACTTTATTGTCATTCCAAAATGATGCTTATCCTTCTGCTAAATTTCTTTGAGTATTTCTAATATTTATCCTTCCAGATAAAATTTAATTATTTTTAATCAAAGGCCAAAAATACATCATTAAATTTATATGTTTTTTCAAGAGAAAAGACACAATTTTTTTTATCCAATGTGCCTTTAAATCTCTAACGGAAATAATATATTTTATTCATATATATATAACGAATTTATTATAATATATATAAATATTATATATGTATAAAATGTATTATTTTATACATATATGTATATAATGTATTATTTTATACTTACATGTGTATATTATTGTACATGTAAATTTTATATACATAAATATGTATATATTATTTATATGTATTGATAGGTATTTATATCCACATATGTATATAAAATAATACATTTTATTCATATATTTTATTTATATATATAAAAATATATAATTATATATAATAAATTCATTTTATTGAATGAATGATTAATAAAATGATCATTTTATTAATGAATGAATAAAATGTATATATAATGAATGAATAAAATGTATATATAAATAAATAAAATGTATATATAAATATATTTATTTTTTAAAGAATGTTTGGCTAATTTTCTGCTAATTTTAATTTTATTATTATTATTATTTTTTGAGACAGATTCTCCCTCTGTTGCCCAGGCTGGAGTGCAGTGGTATGATCTCGGCTCACTGCAACCTCTGCCTGCTAGGTTCAAGGGATTCTCCTGCCTCAACTTTCCAAGTAGCTGGGACTACAGGCGTGCACCACCATGCCCAGCTAATTTTTGTATTTTTAGTGGAGACGGGGTTTCACCATATTGGCCAGGCTGGTCTCGAACTCCTGACCTTGTGATCCACCTACTTCAGCCTCCGAAGTGCTGGGATTACAGGCGTGAGCCACTGTGCCTGGCCACTAAATTTTTTTTTTTTTTTTTTTTTTTATACAGAGTCTTACCCTCTTGCCCAGGCTGGAGTGCACTGGCATGATCTCGGCTCATTTCATCCCCCACCTCCCATGCTCAAGTGGTTCTGGTGCCTCAGCCTCCTGAGTAGTTGAGATTACAGGCATGTGCTACCACACCCAGTTAATTTTTTTATTTTGTAGTAGAGGTGGGGTTTATGTTGGCCAGGCTGGTCTTGAATTCCTGCCCTGAAGCGATCTGCCCACCTGGGCCTCTCAAAGTGCTGGGATTACAGGCATGAAGCACCATGACCAACCAAGAGTTAATGTTACTTTTAAAATAAATCAAAAGAGCAAAAATTATCTGACATAAACCGACAAAAGAAAACAGCAGTCTACTATTAAACTTAATAAAATTTAAGGCAAAATTATTTTATTTGGGATTTTGGATTTGCTTGTGTTTTCTCATCTTACTTAAACCTACCTCTTTTTCATGACTGTATTTCTCACCATCACTTTTCCCTCTACAAGCTAACTGCTCTAGATTTTTAAAAGGTCATGGCTCTTCTGTCTTTTTTAGTGTAAAAAAGGGGAAATTTCCTAATTTTCATATTTCTTGTGTTAAATTCTTTTCATAAGTACATTATTTTTGAATTCTGAATATTTTGTTAAGTTAGATGATTGTTCAAAATCAGTTTGCTTATTCATAACTATAGAAAGATGTAGATTTAAGCCCTGCTTTTGCAACAGAAAAGCCAGAGGGCCATAGCTTGTCCTAGTTTCTAATTGAACCCAATAAGCTTTCTTTTTCTCTCAACTTTATCCAGGAAGCATCATTTTATATACAGATTTCTGATCCAGTCTTCAGGGTTTCCAAGGCATTAATCAAGCATGGCTTTACTGGACAAATGTAGGGCCTTCTGTGTCTTTAATATTGGACTTTCTATGTCATACAGTCAGTATCTTTGGTCTAGTTCTTCGCAGTGTTCATATCTCACTGGTTTAGATATAATTGCCTGCTGCAGGATGATGACTTTCCTACGTGAATCTTCCTGAGTTTCATTATTGATGGTATACGATGTCTACCATCAATGGTATACCATGTATACCAAGACAAATATTTCTTCACTCTTCTTGAGGTCTCTGTATACTGCTTGGTTCAAATAATATGGAGTTACCCATTATAAACTCATTTACAATGAAGTCAGTTGTAGCCCTGTATGGTTTCGCTGTGTCCCCACCTAAATCGCATCTTGAATTGTGGTTACCATAATCCCCACGTGTTGTAGGAGGGACCCAGTGGGACGTAATTGAATCATGGGGGCTGTTACTCCCATCCTGCTGTTCTTGTGATAGTGAGTTCTCATGAGAGCTGATGGTTTTATATGGGTCTTTTCCCTCTTTGCTCTGCATTTCTCCTTCCTGCCATCATGTGAAGAAACATGTGTTTGCTTCCCCTTCTGTTCCCTTTTTTTCCTTTATTTATCGATTTGAGTGTCATTCAGTTCAACGCGAATTTTGTGAACAGCTGGTGTGTGGTCAGCCCAAGGCTGAAACATCGTGAGTGAATACATTGAGGACACAAGTTTTGTGAACAGTGGGAGCAGAAGCCAAATCGCTGTAGATGGAGGAGAGAGCAAGAGTGGACAACCTGCACGAAGTTGAGCTATGTAAACAATGGGGTAAGAAAAGTCAGGGGTGTTAGAGGAAGAGAAGTGAAAGTTGGATACCACAGCTTATAATGAGAATAGGAATTGGTAAAAATGTCAAGGCAGGATAAATAATATATGTTTAGAGATTTAGTACAGGAGCCATTTGACTTCTCTGCTCTTTGAGACAGACGTGAATTGATAGAGATACAGGGAAAGTGTATTTGAAGTACAAGAAACAGCATGTATCTAGAAAACCAAAACACAGAGGGTATAAGTGTGGGGGAGCTGTGAATATTCCAACTTTGGCCACAACATTGGGTAGATATCATAGTTGGCCAGTAATGAAAACTTGTCTAAAAGTGTATGTTTATGTCACACTGTGATAAAGAAGTATGTAATTCATTGGTTTATTTTAATCCCAGTTCTTGATTTTCCTGAATTATTGAGTATCGTGAGACAATGACCCATCTTAAGAAGTTCTAAGGAAGGTAGGCTAATATGCAGGAAGGTATTTGTAACCCTCGAAACTCATTGGAGACACCTCACTAATGTATGGTAACCAGAATAATAGGAGGGTAGGAACTAAGCCAAAAATCAAAGTGATTCCTTCGCACATCGCTACCTGACTTCTTCAGCTTTGCTTAAACTCTGCCATCTGCTGGTGCAGCAGCAACTTCCTCCTAATAGTGTATGTTCACACTGAGTATTGGCACATAGTTTCTGCATCATATAGGATTAAATTTCCTGTTTATTTTTTATTTTTGCTTTGTATTGTATTGTACTTTGGTTCACTTATTTGCGTTTAGTCCAGATCATGATTCTCATAGGTTATAAAAATTTTGTGCATATGCCTGTTTTGAAATTTTTTTCTTATTTGTATATCCACAGAATGCTTGAAAGATTCCTTTACCCAATGCCAAAAAGAATCCACTTAACACATTCTGCTGAGGCCTTTATATTAGTACATGTTAACTTTAAGTGGGAATGTTCCAACATGTGACATACTGTATGTGACGAAAAAATGTTCTTAGAAAGATTCTCATCTCAAGCAAAATTTATACTGGAGACACTGTCTGCAATATCAAAGACTTCACTATTTTCAACTCACAGTTTACTAAAGAGGATAATTAGAGAGGTACTCTAACATTAGCAACAAAACAGCATTTGAAGTTCATGACACTTGATAACGGAACCTCTGTATTTCTTAGTCTCTAGCACCATTTCATAGATTGTACTAAGTTATCAGAGGAGATGAGACATATATTTGACCCAATTCTAAAAATTTAATATAATCAATATTTACCTATAAGGTACGTTAATTGTATTAATACATGTCAAGTCTCAAGATAAATTCTGAATAAAAATTTTTCAGTTAAGTATTGCAAATATTTTTATCATTAAATTTTTAATACATAAGAGATTATCTGTGTAACATATTAAAATGTATGTCATATCATGACAAAAGATTTCTCTATTGGAACATCTTTTATTTAACTGGCTTATTATTATTTCTGGTTGGTGAGTTTAAAAGATTGCAATCTTTAATTTTATTTAGCTAAGTGATTTGTTGCATTTTAAAATCAGTAGATAATATATGTATCATCTTAGTCTTAATTTATAAATATATGACATTTCAATAAAATTCTTGAAGCCAATCAATAAAATTAATTAAGCTTTAAATTCTAGGCTATCTGAAGCTAATTGATTATTGTATTTCTTTATTATTCTTGAAGGGAAAAGCAGACAGTTTTGTATCAAGATGCTGATTTTCTAAAGTGAGAAAAATTAATTTTAAAACTTAAATTGTGTGTTCAATATCTGTGTGAGATCAGATAAACCATGTGTCTTAGAGAGGGAAAGTTTCGAAAGTATAATTTTTTTTTTTTTTTGAGACGGAGTCTCGCTCTGTGGCCCAGGCTGGAGTGCAGTGGCGCTATCACTGCAAGCTCCGCCTCCCGGGTTCACGCCATTCTCCTGCCTCAACCTCCCGAGTAGCTGGGACTACAGGCGCCCACCACCATGCCTGGCTTATTTTATTTTTTATTTTTTGTATTTTTAGTAGAGACGGGGTTTCACCGTGTTAGCCAGGATGGTCTCGATCTCTTGACCACCTGCCTCGGCCTCCCAAAGTGCTGGGATTACAGGCGTGAGCCACCGCGCCTGGCGAAAGTATAATTTTCATAGTTTCTTATTTATCTGTATTTTCCTATATGATTTTTGTTGAATTGTTTTAAATTTATTTTACATTAATTGCCAAATATCTGAATTCATGAGCCACAGGTTGAAGACCACTGAAGAATATAAATAAATAAAATTGGTAGCTCATTGTTTTGCAATAACTTGTGAGGACTAAGCTCAGATTTTTTTTTTTTTATCTTGCCCAAATTCCTACTTAAGGAGTCTGGGGAGTCATCCCCTACAAACCATGAATTCTCATCAGATGGATTTTTTTTTTACCCTATATAGCATGACTTACTTTGCAGTCTGACTCTGGCATGACATTATGTGACAAAGAAGAAAGTAAAAAAAGTTTACCCCAAAAGCAAGTTTCTTTGAAATGGTCCTGCAAAGCTGTCCTTTGTTGGGGGATATATGCATCTGTAAAGAATCTCTATTAACATAGCTAGATCTTTTTCTTCCAGGCCCTCCCAATCCTGAAGAAATTAAGTAAAATTCTAGCACCTTTTAAAGGCCTGAATAGGAAATATTTGTTATCTATTATCTCTAAGGGCAGCCACTATAAGACTTCAGAAGAACCTTGGTATCCACAATCTTTTAGCTTAACCTGAACATGCCCTTTCCTTTGATCCCAGGTCTTCAGACAAACTCAACCAATTGTCAATTGGAAAATGTTTAAATTTACCTATAGCCTGAAAGCCCCACCCCCTGCTTTGAATTGCCCCGCCTTTCTGAACCAAACCAATGTATTTCTTAAATGTATTTGATTGATGTCTCATGCCTCCCTAAAATGTATAAAACCAAGCTGTACCCCAACCACCTTGGGCACATGTTCTCAGGACCTCCTGAGGGCTGTGTCATGTGCCACGGTCACTCATATATGGCTCAGAATAAGTCTCTTAAAATATTTTACCGAGTTTGACTCTTCATCAACACCTGTTCTATTGAATGAACTGGATTTCCACTGTTAATATTACCCTAATGTAAAAAGTAGTGAGGTAACAGACTTTTTGTCAGCCTTGTACTTACAGAGTAGATGACTCTGTGATCTGAGCCCTAATTCCTAACAGGGGATGCTTTGGAATGAATAAATGCAGAGGTACCTTGAACTGGAGGTTGGCCCCGTTTCATGGTAGCATTTTCCCAGAATACATGTCTCCATAATAAAAAGAGTTCCTGAATGGCAGATGAAGGTATCCAGTCATAAAGCCAAGAGATAAGCCACCCATTCCAGAATTGCTGCTTCCTCCTTGATCTGCAATGATCAAGTGGCAACTGTGAGTCAACAGGTTGTACGGTGCACAGAAGGGATGATCTGGCTGAGTGCAGAAAGTCTGCAAATGTGTGGATAAGAGAGCAAAGGAAGAAGTCCTAAATTGAGGAGAAACTGTCCTTTAAGGACAGGAAAAGGAAAATGAGCAAGAAGAATAGACGACTTTGAAAAGAAATGAAGCTGGAAATCTAACATCATAGCCTAATCCCTAAATACCCCACAGATATTAGAAGAATGCCAAGCATTGCTGAACTTGATAGACGTAGATATAGATAGCTAGGTAGATACAGAGGTTGAGATAGATAATAGATAGGCAGATAGATAGATATACATACATACATACAGGCATACGTAGATACATAGGTAGCTACATAGATACATAGATGTATTGAATTGTACACATACACATGTGTATACATCATATATACCTAAGTATGAGAGAGACAAGTGAGATACCAAATTATAATTAGCTAAAGACCATTTACAATACCCTGTACAAAGAGAAATATCTAAAGTGTTTTTGGATAATTAATTCCATATTCTTTAGCAATTCATCCAATTTCCCTCTGGAAGAGATTCAGGACAAAGACATTTCACGTCATTTTACAGTGAGTCTCAAAAAGCAGTAAAACACCTTTATTCTGAGCGCCATTTTAAACTTTTAAGCAAGTTGATGCTACTGCGACTCTTATTCCTGTCACCAGAGAAGCAATTCAGAAGACTTGTTAATATTTCAGAAGTTGCTTAAACTTCCTGTAAAGTGATAGGCCTGACCTCCTGGGGTTAATGTGAGAATCATAGCTGTTAATACACGTAAAATACCTAGAACAATGCTTGACATAGAATAAATGCTATGTAAGTGTTAGCCATGATTAGTATTTTCATCAATCAAAAATGCCTCTGTTCTGTCTCACACTCTTTTTTCTTAAAGTGCTCTGTCATTTCTTTATCTTTAATCATACTTGTCAGTCTTGCTCCAATATCTCTCTTTTATATTTTTATTCCTTCATACACTGCTTCCAATACCTTCCTACCCAAACAGAAAACTGCTTCTCTCCTTTAAGAATACCCACTAGTAGTCCCTAGAAAGATTATTCTTCAGACACTTACCATAACGTGGGGAGGGGTTAGCATTCACCTCTTTGCATGCTGCCATTTTTAAAACTACACTATCTCCGTCCCGTTATGTTCAGGATAACACTATTCATAATTTACCCTTTCTTCACTGGGCCTCATGCCATCATGTCCACCTTTTTGTCAATACACAAACACCTGTGATTTTCCTTGAGACCTCAGAGCTCTGTGCAGTGTCATCCAGTTCCCTGGCCTCACTCTTTCCTAACTGCTGTGAGTCATTGACTACCACTTCTTTCTCAGGATGTTACTTCTTTTTTTTAATTTTTCTTTTTTTTCGAGATGGAATTTCACTCTTGTTGCCCAGGCTGGAGTGCAGTGGCATGATCTTGGCTCACTGCAACCTCCGCCTTCTGGTTTCAAGCAATTCTCCTGCCTCAGTCTCCTTAGTAGTTGGGATTACAGGCACCCGCCACCATGCCAAGCTAATTTTTGTATTTTTAGTAGAGATGAGGTTTCACCATGTTGGCCAGGCTGGTCTCGAACTCCTGACCTCATGATCCGCCCACCTCGGCCTCCCAATGTCTTGTGATTACAGGCGTAAGCCACCATGCCCAGCCAGGATCTCACTTCTTGAGTCAGATCCCACATCCACTCATCACCTAGTGCTCTCCCTTCTAAAATCTTTACTTCCATCATGTCACTTAAATTACAAATTGCTGGCATTTCTTTACATTAATTGAGTATCTTGGCATGTGGCTCGCAGTATTTGTCATAATACGTACATCTGCTATCATCGTGTGATTTAAATGCTCACAGAGTGGATTAACTCAGTGTCTGCCATGCCAGGCTCCTTCTTTCCTTACTTCGACAACACCTGCTTCTAAATCTTAAGGATGTCTGCACCTGTGGTGTTCTGGCTCATATAAATTCTCCCAGGTAATCATCTCTTGCTGTTATCTTCCTCAGTCTTTTCCAGGTTAGACCGCAGTGTATAACATTTAATTAATCAGTTCTTGCCATTCATTTCTTTGCAGTAGCAATTGAGCTTACATTCCCATGAACAAGCCCTAAACACAAGACATTCCAACCTTCCTCACCTGCCTCTCGCTTGCCTTTCCTTCAATGCTGCATCTCCCGGTCAGTGTGCCACCTCTAACTTCCTTACAGAAAATGCTCTTGAAGAGGTTGTTTGTATTTATTGTATGCAAGTCTTTGTATTATAGTCACCTACTGCTATCCTTTCATTTTACAATTCGTCTATAATTGTGTTTACTACCACCAGTGACCACTGGGTTGTTTAATTCATGGGTATTTTCCACATGGGCTACCTGATTTGCCTGCAGAATTGGAGGCTATTAACTAAACCTCTTTTTAAAACCCTTTCTAACTTGGTTTCTATGATACAACTCTCCCCTATCTTTCTACCTGCTTCTCAGACAGATATTTATCAGGCTCTTTTATTTTTTTCTTTCTCCCTGCACCATCGTTCTCCACAGGTCTGCTCTCATTCTATTTTCTCTCCAACCACATCCTCTTCTTGGATGGTCCCATTCACGTCCATAGCAACAATTCCTACCTGAGTGCTGATGGCTTCCAAGCAGGTGCTCCCGCCTTTTGCTCAGCTCCAGACATGTGTATAGAATTGTTTGCCATAACCTTGACTTGAATATACTACTTAATTCTCACACTCGAACTACCACAAAACAAAATGTCTTAGTTTTCCAAATCTTCTCCCTTTTTGAATTTATTTTCTGAATGAATCACTCCACAATCCAACCTTATTATGATTTTCTACATCCATCATATCACTTATATTTGAACAATTCTTTGTCTTCTGTCACCCATTTTCATCTCAGGTTTTCATGCTCATCACCACGGCTGTGATCTGGACTTTATCTTCATCATTAATCTTCTGGCTGCTATACTTACACAAGTTCTATCTCTTTCATCTCATAGAATAATGTTCTTAAAATATAATTCTCATGGATGCTCTCTTGCTAAAAATTGTTGTTACTGTCTCTTTTTAATATGGCCTGTGATATTTGTAGTATAAAATACAAAGAAGTTTCTAACCACTTGTCCTGGCTCATCCACCCACAGATACCCATCCTACACACATTCTTCTAATCACATCAGTCTTCCTGCTGTGCCCCATGGCCCATGCTCTTGCTCCCTTCACTTAAATCACAGCGCTTGAGCACAACTTATCTTTGCAGGAAAATTTCATCTCTGCCCTTGACTGTGCAGTGGTGGGATGAGCACTTATTTTAACATACTTTTGAATTGCTCTGTTTTTTCTTTACATAGAACCCTCTATATGCCTCTCTATTTTATTTTGTCTATCTCACCCACTGGTATATGTCTTTCAACTTTTTATTTTATTTTATTTTTTTGAGATGGAGTTTCGCTCTTGTCTCCCAGGCTGGAGTGGAGTGGCACGATCACTGCAACTTCCGCCTCCCGGGTTCGAGTGATTCTCCCACCTCAGTCTTATGAGTAGCTGGGATTACAGGCACGCAGCACCATACCTGGCTAAATTTTCTAGTTTCAATAAGAATGGGGCTTCACCATGTTGGCCAGGCTGGTCTCGAACTCCTGACCTCAAGTGATCCGCCTGCCTTGGACTCCCAAAGTGCTGGGATTACAGATTTGAGCCACCGCGCCTGACCTGTGTCTTTCATCTTGTTCGCAGAACATAGCAAAGGCTAAGACATAATAACTGTTGAATAATGATGAATAAATGGATTTTAAAGAGGCAATTAGGAAGATCAGATTTTTTTTTTATTTTACAAAAATACGTGAATTTGATTGTACTCTGAGGACCCTTTACTAGTGCCAGATGAGGATGGTCTGTTCAAATAATTTCTTCTACACTTCCATGCTCTCAGGTAGAGGAAAGAAGATTAAAAATAAAATATTTCCTTATATCCCTACACAGAATATCGATATTTTATATGTGATTCCCTTTGTTCCATATACCAAAGCATAAAGTATAATTCAGTGTGACACATATAAGAAAGTATATAAGAGCCAAATTCCCTCATCCATTTGTTTGCTGATGAAATTAACCCATTTTAACAAAATGGTTTTTGTGCATAGCAAAAGATTAAATGTCTCAGGAAGTATATAATGCGTATATTGTGTTACAAATTAATTTAGCCTGTGACATGAACATAATAGTGTAAAATAGAAAATATATGAAAGTAGACATATAAACACCAATCCAAGAAAGTTATAAATAGATAGAAAATCAAGGCCCAGATAAGGAGGAATGTGAGTGAGTATTTAGTGCCAAAGAACCTTGGTAGTAATTATAGTGTTAAGATGAGTTTCCTAGTAGCTATGTTAAAATGAAGATAGCATCATTTAAGCATTTCTCACCTTAATTAAAGGGGAGTTTGTCTGTGAAGGAAATCATTTCCTAGTACTGAATTATGATATAAGTGCCGTTGCTGAGACATTATATATATATGGGCCATTGAATTATGATACTCTTCAACAATATTTTTGTATTAGGCAACAAAATGGATTTCATATGACTATTTGTTGTACTGTTCTTTTATTAAAAGAAGTAGGGCACAACCCCAAAACTTAATTTGGGGAAAGAAATTCTGTTGGGGACTAAGGCAATATAGTTCAAGTTTGTAGCCTCCTCGTGATTTCATTTGACCAAGGCTAAAATTTATAATACCCAGAGGAGTGACAGCCTTCAAGTGATTTTCTGTAAGTATTAAAGTTGAGGTGTGTATTAAATGTCCACTTCTGTTTGGTGACACTTTAAGATTTTCTAGTTATTTTGAAGACTCATAACATTCTACGAAGAAAATTCCTTAGCAAAAAAATAGTTTTCTCAAAATAAATATATTGCTCACAATTTTAATGCCTCAGCATTAAAGCTAAAAAGGAAAAGGGTATTATCTGCCCTAAGCTATTTGTAATTGATAAATAAGAGTTTAAATTTTTCTCTACAGAGTTTTATTATTGAGCCATTATTCAATTATGAGAAAGAGGGAAGTGAAATATCTGCCAAATACTTCTGATATGTCAGATATACTACCAGGTTATTTTACATATTTTATATCATTGAATGTCAGAATTAAACTTGTGAAAATCATAGCTAGCTAAAAGTAGATATTTAATTTTTGTGGACTTGTTGAAACCCAGTACAGAGATGTGTCTACCTGGGATCATGAAATCAAATATTCAGAAGAAATATATTTTTCATACGTATTCTGAAATCAGTGGCTGAAACCACAAGAAATAAGTGAACAGAGCTTATAAATACTCATTTATTGAGTTTATTCCCTTAGGTTCACATCACGGAGATGCTTAAAATACTTAAGCTAGAGTTATATTTAAAGTACTGCTATATATAGATACAATACAACTTATTTTACAGAGATTCCCTTTGGGGGACAAGAATTATTAATGTATGTGTTTATCCTGAGCTCCCTCTTTCTGTTTGCTAATGGGGATTCTAGCTTTGTCTGCTCAATTTCTTCCCCATTGCTCTTCTCTGAAAAGACACTGCTGGTGTCCAGCAGTGACATTCTCTTTCATATCTCCACATCAGTACAATGGTAAGAGGAAATCAGAACCAAAAAGGCAGTGGGGGAGTGGTAGGTAAAGATTGAGAAGATGCATTTGAGTAAGGTCTAGGTGACCTTTCTTCCAGAAAAGAAAAAAACATATATAGAGTCAGGAGGTGATTAAAAATTTTAACCAGAAGGATTTAAAGAAAGAGAGGTATGGATGAAAGAATATAAAGATGTGTGCATCATGTATACATATGTAACAAACCTGCACATTGTGCACATGTACCTTAGAACTTAAAGTATAATTTAAAAAAAGATCCGTACATTATATTTTATGTTTTTATTACCAAAATACAAATAGACTCTTGAGGTATTTTTACATCATGTTTCATTATAATAGAATGATTTACATTCCTCTGGGTATATACCCAGTAATGGGATTGCTGGGCCAAATGGCATTTCTGCTTCTAGGTCTTTTAGGAATTGCCACACTGTCTTCCACAATGGTTGAACTAATTTACATTCCCACCAACAGTATAAAAGCCTTCCTATTGTGTCTGTTTTTTGCTTCACTATTCACAATAGCAAAGACATGGAATCAACCCAAATGACCATCAATGATAGACTGGATAAAGAAAATGTGGTACATATACTCCATGGAATACTACATAGTCATAAAAAGGAATGAGATCATGTCCTTTGCAGGGACATGGATGGAGCTGGAAGCCATTATCCTCAGCAAACTAACACAGGAACAGAAAACCAAACACAGCATGTTCTCACTTATAAGTGGGAGCTGAATAATGAGAACACATGGACACAGGGAGAGGACCAAAACACACTGGGACCTATCCGGTGGGCTGGAGGGGAAGGGAGAGCATCAGGATAAATAGCTAGTGAACAGGGGCCTTGACACCGAGGTGACAGGTTGATAGGTGTAACAAACCACCATGGCACACGTTTACCTATGTAACAAACCTGCACGTCCTGCACATGTATCCCAGAACTTAATTTTTTTTAAATATAACATATCAGTTTTTTTAAATCAGAGTGTTGTCTTGCTATATCACGTGGGTCACATCTTTATAGGCATTATGTATTCTAATAAAATGGCAAGAGAAAAAATATTTAAACAGTTCAGGCTAGAGGTAAAATGGAAGAGTTGAGGCTGGTCTTGGCCAAGAGTCAGTTGAGTCTGGGCTCTGGCCCTACCTGGCCATGTTTATGGATAAGTTTCTTAACTTCTTTTCTTCAAAATATAACCAGGCTAAGAGCAGCCTGATGGGAGTCCGACTGAGCAGGGTTTGAATCCTAGCTTTGCCAGTTAGCATGTTGAGATGTGAGGTAAGTTACTTAATTCAAGCCCCATGTCCTCATCTGTAAATGCAGACAACATTATCTACCTTCAGATTGTTGTCAGGATTAATATAATTTATGTAAATTATTTTACCCAACATTTGGTATATATTTGTATACAGTAATTGGAATATCTTTGGTACAAGATAAATGTTACAAAACATGAGTGTTTTCCTTGTCATTGGTGTGGTACCTTGCATTTTCAAGTTGTGTTAATCCATTCACATTACTATAAGAAAACACGTTAGACAGGATAATTTAGACAATTATAAAACAGAAATATATTCCTCACAGTTCTGGAGGGTGGTTGTTTGAGATGAGATGTCAGCAGATTTGATATCTGGCAAGAGCTTGCTCTCTACTTCATAGATGGCGACTTCTGTGTGTCCTTACATGGTGGAAGGGGCTAGGGAATTTTGGGAGGCCTCTTTTATAAAGGCACTAATCCCATTCATGAGAGCTCTGCCAGTCATATTCCAAAGCCTTCATCTCTTAATACTATTGCACTGGAGATTAAGTTTCAACACATGAATTTTAGAAACACAAACATTTAGACCATAGCACGAGTCGATATGTTTCTCTTTTGTTTAGATTTGCTGATAAAGAGAGAAATTGAGAGACAGATTGAGATTCAGTAAAGGGTAAAGTTACTGAAGTTGCAAAAATATATTCAAGAACATTATAAGGGAAATGTATAGGGCATTACAGCAAGTAAAATGTAATATGGATACTGTGAATGATTTCTAAAAATTTAAGTTTACCAAAAATATATTGTGAAGACTTGAACTGTTTGAAACATTTAGTCCTTGTAGATCATGAGTGGAAGAACAGACTCTCTAAGTAGTGAAGGGAAATAGAGCAACATTTTTGGCACCAGGGGAGTGGTTTTGTGGTAGACAATTTTTTTCACAGACCTGGTGGTGGTGGGGATGGTTTCAGAATGATTTGAGCCCCTTACATTTATTGTGCACTTTATTTCTATTATTATTACTTTGTAACATATAATGAAACAGTTATACAGCTGATCATAATGTAGAATCAGTGGGAGCCCTGAGCTTGTTTTCCTGCAACTAGGTGTTCCCATCTGGGGGGTGATGGGAGACAGTGACAGATTATCAGGCATTAGATTATCATAAGGAGCACACAACCTAGATCCCTCGCATGCTCAGTTGACAGTAGGGTTCATACTCCTATGAGAATCTGATGCTGCTGCTGATCTGACAGGAGGAGGAGCTCAGGGGGTAACAAGAGCCATGAGGAGCAGCCATAAATACAGATGAAGCTTCGCTCACTCAGCCGCCACTCACCCCGTGCTTTGCAGTCTTGTTCCTAACAGCCACGGACTAGTATGGGTTTGGAGACCCCTGAAATATCCAGCAAGCCTTTTAAATGAGTGAATTATTCCATTCCAACCTCTGGAATATAAAAGGTAAATAGTCTCTCAGGAATTCACACTGTGTGGCCTTCTGCATTAAAGGAGTCACCTAAGTTATCTGGAAATTCATGTACAAGGGTCAGATGTTGCTGGCATTGTCCTAACCCTGCAGAGCTGCTCCCAAATCAATCCTTCACCACCTCCTTGAGATTCATGTCTTGAGACCCTAATTTCCTTCATTTTTTCAAAGATGTCTATTTTCCAGGAGGACACATCTTCATTTTTAAGGAAAACTCTGGCTACAGGCCATCAGATGTTTTTCCCCCTGCCAACACTCTGGGTGACATTAGCGCATTTATGCAAAATACATTCAACACACTGGCCTCATACCTTTTGATCTCATCTTCAATAACATGTATTTCTACTCCAATTTAAGCACCCACATTCATTGCCTCATCAGGAATGATGACATCTTCTGTAGCTATTCACATTGTATTTTTGAATTCCAGTGGCCCTCTCACCTTTGACTTCAATACTTGATTCTTTTAGTTCTTTAAAATTTTTATTTTCTCTTCACACATTATTTGATCTCCTGTAGAACACTTTTTTCTTCCACTTTTGCCTCACTTATTTACCAAACCTGTCTCTCTCTCTCTTTTTTTTTTCTTTCTTTCTTTTGAGATGGAGTCTTGCTCTGTTCCCTAGGCTGGAGTGCAGTGGAGCAATCTTGGCTCACCACAACCTCCACCTCCCAGGTTCAAGCGATTCTCCTGCCTCAGCCTCCCAAGTAGCTGGGATTACAGGCACCTGCCAACATGCCTGGCTAATTTTTGTATTTTTAGTAGGGATGGGGTTTCACCATGTTGGCCAGGCTGGTCTTGAACTCCTGACCTCAGGTGATCTACCCACCTTGGCCTCCCAAAGTGCTGGGATTACAAGTGTGAGCCACCACACCCAGCCAACCAAATATCTCTTAAGCACCTCAAGTGCTTTACAACAGGGAATGCCAGAATACACCAATTCCAAGCCAAATCCACACAGGAGTGAAAAATTATGTTTAGATAAATGCAACTGTTCAAACACATGCTTTCAAAAACAATTCTTCCTTAGTGCTGAGGGCCATCTTGATACTTTGTTAAACAGGATCTATCAAGAGACAGAATAGAGAGATTCAGGGAGAGTGTGATGCTTTCTTTAATGCCCTGATCCTGAGTTAGATGTATCAGCAATGTGTCTCAGAGCTTTTTATAAACCTCCTGTTTCCACATCTACCACCTTCTATCACACTGGATTCTTTACATAGTTTCTTCCACAATACTGTAAACGTTAAGAATGTCAAATCAAGATTGAATCTGATTTTCTCCATTGCATTTATATTACAGCAAAGTACCTGGTACATGGTTTATATTTAATAAATATTTATCATCTAAGTGGATTAGTTACCCTCCATTATCTTCCCAAATAAATGCCAATTTCAAAAAAATACCAAATTTTGCCAACTCTCTATTCAAACTCACATCTTTTGTTTTCAGGAAATGACATATTCTCTTTAATGAAAATAAGGACATAAAGTATCATTTACCTTTATGTAGCCAGTCCCACCCTCCTATAAACTTATCTATAATTGGGTGATGAGTGATCCTTCCTCTTAACTAAATAAAATTTTTCACTTGTAGAATTGATCTAGCTCATACCTTTCATTATATCTTGTATCTTTCCCCATTTGTTATTGTGTCTCATATCTCTGCCTTCAGCCCTTCCCACTTCTCTCTTATTTTACCTGTAAACATGACTGAGGCAAAATGATTGAGGTAGAATGACATAAGAAAAAATAGGGTAATTTTAGAATGTCATTCCAATGTGAGAGAACTCCAGTGGGCCATTTTATCTTCTAAAATTACCTTCTTTTTGTTATGCTATTCTCTAGCTTCCAACTACTTTTTTTTTTTTTAAAGAGATGGGGGTCTCGCTACATTGACCAGGCTGGTCTTCAAATCCTGGCCTCAAGTGATCCTCCCATCTAGGCCTCCCAAAGTCCTGGGATTACAGGTGTGAGCCACCACAGCCGGGCCCCAACTACAATCTTGCCGTCCCTTTTCTAATTCTCTTCTTTTGAAAGGAGTTTTCAATTTGCTACTTTACTTTCTCATATCCCACTCATGCATCAACCCAATGTACAGTAGCTTCTATCCTAACTACTCTACCGAAGCTGCTCTTCCATACCGTTCCACTCCTTTCACTCAAAGTACCCCATATTTTTGAAGAACGGTGTCATTCATGATACAATGTTCTCTAGTAAGCAGATCTGGAGATGGGGATCTATACTAGGGAGTGCCCTTGGAATAATATCTCTGAAAAGGAGAAGAAGGAAGCTGGATTGGGGGACGGGGGAAAAGCTGGGCTGAAAAGAAGTCCTGGACCACAGCTTTGGCCCATCTCACAGGGCACTTTGAAGATAAAATGGCCCACTGGAGTTCTCTCACATTGGAATGACATGACTGAGTCCTTAGGGGCCCCAAGTCCCCTCCTCACCTCTTTCACCTGCCTCCTTGCCTCACCTCAATCAGTCATTGGCTATGGGCCACACCTGGGATGGACATGACTTTGGGCAGGGGGAAGCTCTGCAGCTGAGGTTATGTCTGAAGGGGCTCACAGCTGAGTCCTGTCCACTGACACAGCTCTCAGGGAGGACCTGGGTATTGCGTCTCTGTGTATATATATCACATATATGAGTAATGATATTAGAGGTTTTATAATTTTACCTTTTTTCTCCGTTTTATCTTTAATCTTCACTGTATTTCAGTCATGGTCTTCAGGCTTCAAAGTGACCTTTAAGAGTCAGCAAAGAATATACAGCTTTTTAAACATTGAGAATAAAACAAGAACAATGTGATAGCATAGTGCAATGGTGCCACAGAAATAAACAATAAAAAAGAATTTAAAGAGAGAACCAGGAGTCAATTTCATAAATGCCACCATTACATTACTTAGGTTAAGCTTTTGAATTTATCTAGAAAAATGTCACTGGCCAAGACATTAACATTTATAGAGGAATGGAGAAGTACGAAATTAAAGTTCCTAAGAATCAAGTCCGGAAAAATAGAAAATGTGTATTGGCTATTGTTCTCAGTTTGGCAAATAAAATTTAAAAATAGGCCTGGTACAGTGGCTCAAGCCTGTAATCCCAGCACTTTGGGAGGCCGAGGCGGGCCGATCACGAGGTCAGGAGATGGAGACTATCCTGGCTAACACGGTGAGACCCTGTCTCTACTAAAAATACAAAAAATTAGCCAGGCATTGTGGCGGGCGGCTGTAGTCCCAGCTACTCAGGAGGCTGAGGCAGGAGAATGGCGTGAACCTGGGAGGCAGAGCTTGCAGTGAGCCCAGATTGGGCCACTGCACTCCAGCCTGGGCAACCATGCAAGACTCTCTCTCAAAAAAATAAATAAATAAGCAAACCCAGAATTGGTTAATTTCAAATAACATTTCTAGTATTTCCCACACGGTTTTTTTACATATTTTAAATTCACTAATATAGCATTACATTTTAAAAAGGCATATTTTAATATCTTATCTTGAAATCATAAGATGTATTTGTTCAACCAAATCTTACAGTAAAGCAGTATAAAAAATATAAATTCTACAGTGTGATAGAAATGCAAACTATTTGACGTTCAATTTAATCATTTTTTCAGGAACCTAAATATTATTTATTAATTATTACTTTAACTATTTAAGATTAGTTACAATGAAAAGAATATTGCCTTAGAGATCTTCCATTAATTATTCAGTTCCCAGCCTCTGATTCCTTTATAAACTTCTAAATTCTTCAGAGATAAATGTACTTGGCTCAAATTTAATCATGTTACAATGCAGGTTCTGTATCAACTTAGTTTTTGTAGACACTATATGGTATAAGAAGACAATGTTTAATTTTATGTCAATATCTTGCATAAACTTGTTCAATTAATTCATTCAATAAACAGTCATTGAGTTCGTATCATGTCCCAGGCACTGTTAAAAACATTCATCTTATGTGGTGAAAAAGTATGTATGGAAGTACCTGCTTTTATATGAAAAGTACTGATGTTTTTTCTAAAACTTGAAGTATAGTCTCTGATTTGCCTATCTAAAGAGTGAAAAATTTCATTTTTACTTTCTGCAGAAATTCAGTTTCTTGTTGTTTTATCATCATACGTACAACTTTTATTGAAATATTTCTCTAGAGGCATAAAATATATTGCCATTTTTGAAAACCAGATATTAGGGGTCTCATAGTGCTGTAGGCTGAATGATGGTGACCCCCAAAATTCAACTGTTGAAATGTAACACCCAATATGATGATATTTGCAGGTGGGGCCTTAGAGGGAGGGGATTAGATCATGATGGTAGAGCCCTCATGAATGGGATTAGTAGACTTATAAAAGAGTCCCCAGAGAGACTCCTGCCCCTTTCAACATGTGGGGCACAGGGAAGAGATGGCAATTCATGAATCAAGAAGCAGGTCCTCACCACGTCTTATGGCACTTTGATCTAGGACTTCCCACCCTCCAGAACTGTGGACAACAAATTTCTATTGCTTAGAATCCACCAATTTATGATATTTTGTTAAAGCTGTTTAAATAGATTAAGACACCTAGGATGGGAAACCCGTTAATATTGTAATACAGAGATGAGCTTTCTCTTCCTCTAACTACTTTTAAAGTCTACGACAATTAGAAAATGATGTTTTGTGTAGCTGTATTTTGATTTAAAATTATGTGCCTCAATTAATGATGAACTAACTTGATTTTGTGCCTGAGTTTTAATAAGTGTGATATGTTTGAATCAATGTGAATTATTTTATCAGTTCAAAATATCCAAAAAATTTTTGTCTGGTTAAGATCATGTGCATCTCCATGATGGGATTAGTGTTCTTATAGGAAAAGAAAGTGAGACCATAGCTCTCTGTCTTTCTCTTTTTTGTGCCATGTGAAGATATAGTCAGAAGGCAGGAGCCTGTAGTCTAAAAAGGCAGCTTTCACGAGGGACTGAATCTGCTGGCACCTTGTTTTGGACTTCCCAGCCTCCAGAATTGCGAGAAATAAATGTCTGTTTAAGACAGCAGTCTCTGGTATTCTGTTACAGCAGCTTGAGCTGCCTAAGACACCATGACAATATAAAAATTTTAACAAGACTAGCCTGGGCACCATAAGAAGGCCCCATCTTTAAAACTAATGCAAATAATAATAATAACAACAAACTAAAACATTTGGAATTTTTAAGTGATAATTTTCTCATTAGATACAGAATCAGTTACTTAAAAAGATACAGATCCCAAACTCTATTATTTTTAATATTTCTTTTAAAAGTTCATCATTTTGAGGATTAAGATTTTCTAATACATCCATATATACACACATGCATATATTCATACAAATAACTATAGATATTCATTTTATCAATGATTTATTTTGACTTATTTATTTAAAAATATTAAATTTATTTTATAAATGAACAACGCATTTATTATACCATTTTAATTCCAACTACTAGCTACTATATGCTATAATATACCAGTCCCTGCTGGCTTTGAACTACTTGGAATTCTAAGAAGTAGAGTAACATAGTACAAACCTATAGACAATATGATAAATGTACCACGAATGACACAAAATATTTTCTGCATGTCACATACGGAGTCATTCTGTATTTTGTCAATATCCTTAGTTAATTCAAAAGTTCCCAATGCACAAATCAATCAAGAATTTCACCCCCCCACAGTGAAAAAAAAAAAAAAAAACAATGTGAAAGCAGTCAGGTTTTAGTCACTGTAAATCACAATTTCAATTCTACCCTGTCCAGAGAAAGATATTTACGTTCTTCCCATTCCAAATACATACAGGCCATGAGTTAACAATCTTTCATTTTCCTAAAACACCAACAGATTTGCTTTTTTACTTTCATTTGTAGTTTATAGTACTCACAATTAAGTGGATCTAAATAAATATATTTGAGGTATATATCTATAATATCTATCTATCTAGCTAGCTATGTGGATTAAAGGTCAATGCTATTGTCTATGCATTAGCCACTCCCATTTATGAGAATTTTCTAAACTTGTTGCTATATATCTCTTAAATGGTGTCAGTTGGCCAAATTTATTTCCTGAAAAACAGCTGAGCAGCCAACAATGAAAATGAAGCTCTCTGCATACCTCTTATGCATACTGCATACACCTTAGGCTCTCTGCATGCCTCTCAGGCACTTATGCTTACATATATTTGTATCTCATTACATAGTGACACACTCCTAAAATAAAGTAAATCATGAGTTATTTTCTAGACAAATTTGATAAGGCTTTTATTTGATAACAATTTAAAATTATGCCACCAGATGCCTATACTTCGACTTATAAAATGTATTATGTTCTGTATGGGCAAAAAGAAAGTGTAGAAGTTGAGCAGCTACCTGGTAAAATTACCTAAATCCACAATGCCACTGGACAACATTGAAGTAGATATTTAAATAAGTGAAGGTAATCAAGCAGTTGAGTTCACTAATAAAATTATATTTGGAATCTTATATCATTCCCAGATTAATATATACAATGTATATCAAATGTCATTGCTATGGAAACTTAAGTTTTTACACATGAGGTTAAATTTTTATAAAGAAATTTTTTCTCCAGAATTGACTTTATGAAACTTGACATCCTCTGTTTCTGGCATGTATTAAGAAAATGTCAACCCAATGTCAAAGGATAATTAATTTTTTTAAAGGAGAGGACAATAATGGTTCTCATACAAATGTAAAATGAATATATGTTCATGATTTTATTTAACTGATTAATAAATAAGAGTGCCATAGGATGTTTTGACTGGTTCAAAGGAGAATACAAAGAGCAGAGAATATATAGGCAGACATTCATGCTGAAATGAATTTGCTTAATAAAGGCAAAATTAGCCAATATCCCTAGGGTGATGGTCAAATAAATCTACACTGGATAATTTGCATTTTCATGGACAGGAATTATTTGCAATTTACACAGTTGTGAAACAGGTAAAACAAACAAAAAGCAAAAGGCTCAGAAACCCCATACAATCAGCTAAACTAACATTTAGTTTTCCATTGAAAATGTTTACTAATTTTTGAGACCATTTCAAAGTTTTTCTTAATTTTTCTCTACTCTAGAAAAGTCTATAAATTATTTCCAGTGAATATTAAAGGCCTTTTTCTTTGTTGAATTAGTATTTTGAAAAATTTATGAAAGGAGACAGAACAGAAAAGCAGTCACCAAGTTTATCAGTTAAGTCGGTATTATTACAAATCCCAATTGAGAAGTATTTTTAAGTATATTTTTCTTTCCAAGACAAATATACATTAAACAGTCCTAATGTTTGTATCTTTTATGTTACATATATATGTATAGATGTGCAAGTATATGTATATCTACATGTATATAAAAATACACGAACTCACATAGTTATATCAGAGAATTATTTATGCAAATGTGTTGGATTTTCTTTTTGTGAAGCTATGTTATCAAGTTATTCTTAGTTTTACAGAAAATAAAACAACTCTAGATCTTTGTATCATAAAATAAATATCTGTTTACAAATATCAGTGTTTTCTTTTTAATACTTCTAATGTACTCTATTGGAGGTAATGGTATATGAAACCCTGTAAGTGCAATTCTACTTCATTAGTTAATTCAGATGAAACACAAGTTTTTAAGACCCAGTGTATGCCAACAATTGAGAAAGTCATTAAAGTAGACAAAGATGGGTAGAGCCTGGGCTTTGGCTATGAATGTTAGAAAATGAATCACTGAGAGTAAAACATGTTTAAAAGATTAAAATAACAAAAATTGGTTTGAAATTAATTTCAGCTATTGGCCATCAATTGGTTAGAAAGAATAAGAATGAGTCAAAGCTTTTTTCTCTTCATTTAATTCAAATATGTCATAAAAATAGTAAATTTTAGATGATTATAAGTTGATTGTGTCAAATTGGTTGAATGACATGTCATTGAAATTAACCTTTACCTCATAATGCTATCATTTGAGTTTTAATTAATATTGGGGTCAAAAAACTGATTTTCATTAGATACTGTTTTTAATGATCAATTATTACGCCAATGATTTATATAACGGGGAACTTCAATTCAATGTTTGGTAGCTGTTTGATTTTTAGGACATTATATATTTGAATGTACACTGATTATCCTAAAGTTGTAAATATTTAAGAAACTTTTCGGCCGGGCACGGTGGCTCACGCCTGTTTTCCCAGCACTTTGTGAGGCCGAGGTGGGTGGATCACGAAGTCAGTAGATTGAGACCATTCTGGCTAACACGGTGAAACCATGTCTCTACTAAAAATACAAAAACAAAATTAGCCAGGTGTGGTGGCGCACACCTGTAGTCCCAGCTACTCAGGTGGCTGAGGCGGGAAAATGGCGTTGAACCTGGGAGGCGGAGCTTGCAGTGAGCCGAAATCGTACCACTGCACTCCAGCCTGGGCGAAAGAGCAAGACTCCGTCTCAAAAAAAAAAAAAAAAAAAAAAAAATAGTCTAAAATAAAGATACATTTATATTATTTTCAAAAAAGAAAATCTAAATTGACTCCCTAATCAAAGAAACTGTAAACAGAATGTAACAAACTATATATTGCTTGGCCCCCAAACATTTCAAAGTCACCTTTCCTTTTAATATACATGTTCTAATATTATAAACAGTGATCTCAGAAAAATCCTAATTTGTCTTTTTTGTATATTTTCAGCAGATTGTGCTGTTTCAAATTCTGTTATTTTATTCCAATTCTTTTGTTCACATATTGCTTTTTTTGCCAGCGTTTTTCATATTTTAAATATATTACTATATTGTATATAGTAATATTGTGTTTCCATTTCTCTCTCTTCGTGTTTTATTTTGTTCCATAACCTTTGGCTTGTCCTTTTTATTCCATATTCCCATTTGTAAATGTAGTTTTCAAAGATGCTTTTCTTATTTACACAAACACAAGACTTTTGACCCAAAATATTCTGAATTCAATCAAAGTCAAAGCTCAAACATTTCTTAAAAATGAGATTTTTCTGAGTTGGGAACCAGAGTAATCTATTGCCTGATGCAATTTGAGAATAGAACTTGTGCCAACTCTCTGTGCATTATCAATAGAAGAAATAGGATAAGATAGAGGCAAGGAATATACATTCACAGAGCAGGAAAAATTGCTGAGGGACTCATATAAATTGGGCTTATTAAAATAAACTTACCAAGTTATAGTACCAATTCTCCTTTTTTCGTTCAGTCCATAATAGAGTTCTCATTGCTTTCAATTCTTTTTTCTTATAATAGTTTTCCTAAATATTTAATTAATTTATTATTTTTTAGATGGTGTCTCTCTTCGTCATCCAGGCTGGAGTGTAGTGGCACGATCTTGGCTCACTGCAACCTCCGCCTCGTGGGTTCAAGCAATTCTCCTGTCTCAGCCTCCCTTGTAGCTGGGACTACAGGTGCACGCCACCACTCCTGGCTAATTTTTGTATTTTGTTTCTGTTTTTGTTTTTGTTTTTTTGAGACAGAGTCTCCCTCTGTCGCCCAGGCTGGAGTGCAACGGAACCATCTCGGCTCACTGCAACCTCCACCTCCTGGGTTCAAGCGATTCTACTGCCTCGGCCTCCTGAGTAGCTGGGATTATAGGCGTGCGCCACCATGCCCGGCTAATTTTGGCATTTTTAGTAGAGACGGGGTTTCACCACGTTGGTCAGGCTGGTCTCGAATTCCTGACCTCGTGATCTGCCCGCATCAGCCTCCCAAAGTGCTAGGATTACAGGCGTGAGCCACTGAACCCACTCCTAAATCTATTATTTAAAAATCCACCTGTGCAATTGGTATTCACAGAACTCTCCCATATATGTTATTATTTTATTCTCATAACTCTCTATGACAAGTGTGGATACATTATTGATGTAGAAAATTAGATTACAGAGATAAAGTGACTTTCCCAAGGTCATGAGGCATGTAGGTGGCACATGTTGGGACCACAACCTAGCTATCCAGATTTTTCTTCTACTCTGTGTTTCACTGTACCATCTCAGAAACCTTCAGCTCAGTCACCACATGTCAGATGGGTAATGACCGTCTTTGGAAAAGCAAAATTTCATTACTTACTAGCAGTTTGTATCAATGACATACAGCTTTGGAGCACCTGAGATATATAGTTTTTATTTCTTCCCCATCATTGGCCCTAGTTGCCGACTCCACTAACTCTCCCCCTTAGGGTTTTCCTATAACTATCTCTGCCATTCATGCAATGACTTCTTGCCAAATATTCAGATTTGTTTATTCAGTTACTAGCTGGACTTACCCATTTGGAAGTCTGGATGTAACTCTTATTCAACATGTCTTAAATGGAAATCCCTCATTGGTTTTCTCCCAAGCTATTTGTGATTGGCAGCATAATTCTCCCTCCCTGGAAGCTGTGTATATATAGGTTACATGGTGCCATGGTATGAATGTATTCAAATTCATGTGTTAAAGCTTAATCTCTATTATAGTGGTATGGTAGTGAGAGGTGGTACATTTTGGGAAGTGATTAAGGCACAAGGGTTCCACTCTCATGAATGGATCAGAAGCTTATAAAAGGGCTAATGGAAATAGCTTAGACCCTTTATTGCTGTTCCTTTCTGCTATATGAGGACAAAGCACTCACTCTTCCTGCTCTCTAAGGACACAGCAAGAAGACCTTTAACAGACACCATGTTGGTATGTTGTTCTTGGCTTCCCAGTCTTCAGAACTGTGGTATACAGTGGCATTTAAAAAACTAATACAGAGTCTAGTATCTGAAAGTAAGGGTCTGTTGTAACAAATCTTAAAAATGTGCAAGAGGCTTTGGATTTTGGTGATAGGCCAAGGATGGAAGAACTTTGAGGAGCATGACATAATAAACCTAGATGGTCTGAAAAGAGTGTTTGTAGAAACATGGATATGTATGAATTTGCTAGTAAAGAGTCAAGAGGAAGTGAGAAGCATGATAGAGAAAAACTAAAGCACCTAAACAATTCCAAAACTATCAGGAATAGACTGTCTTAGACGTATGAATGTTCAAGGATATGCTGGTGAGGTCTCAGAAGGAAATAAGAAACATTTTATGGGAAACTGGGGAAAGAGGATTCTTGTTACATAGTGGCAGAAAGTTTAGCAGAATTGTTATCCACTGTTATGCGGAAAGGAGAACACATAAATTGTACATTTAGCTGAAGAGGTTTCCTAGAAAACTGTTGAAGGTCCAGCCTTGTTTTCTCTTGCTGCTTCTAGTAAAATGCAGGAAAAAAGAGGTAAACTGAGAGAAGAATTGTTAAACAAGGATGAAACAAGTGCTTGATTGAGAAATTCTCATCTATATTGCAAAAGACATTGAAATAAATGCTGCCAAGAACGTGTACTCTGAAAAAGCTGAGGTTATAATTAGACAATCTTTTGCTAATACCAGAGGAAGATCAAAATGTCAAAGTATTCTGTTACACAGAAGCCTATATGAAGGGATTAAGTGTGTTACTCATAGACGTCTTACATCATCTCAGCGGAAACTAAAAATAGAGATAAGATTATGTAAGAAATATCTGTGGACAAGCCTTTGCTCTACTGGAGAGAAGCGAGAAGCCCATGATATAAAAGGGAGACACACAATATTCTTTGAGAATGTTATATCAACTGAGATACTGCCAGCTTGGAATAAAAGGAACAAAATGAAAGAATGCCATCAGGTTTCCAAAATTCTACAGAGAGGAAACAGGCTGATTAAACTTCTCAACTGTAAATGCATGCTATATTTCATGAAAAATGAATGATGATCTGGAAGGTAGAGCATTGAGCCCAGAGGGACTAGACTTAAACCCACAGAATGAAGCCCAAACCCACAGAGGATTATTCTCAGATTGAAACCTAGTGGAGTTTGCCTGTCTGGATTATGAGATTGCTTGACACCTTTAAGTCTTTTATTCTTTCCTTTGCACCTTTTTTATTTTTAGTGTTTAAACTTTTATTTTAGGTTCAGGGATACATGTGCAGGTTTGTTATATAGGGAAACTCATGTCACCAGGGTTTGTTGTACAGATTATTTTGTCACCCTGGTACTAAGCCTAGTATGCAATAGTTATTTTTTCTGATCCTCTCCCTCACACACTCCACCCTCTTGTAGGCTCCAGTGTCCCATTGGTCCCCTCTATGCGTCCATGTGTTCTCATCATTCAGCTCCCACTTATAAGTGAGAGCATGCAGTATTTGGTTTTCTGTTACTGCGTTAGTTTGTTAAAGATAATGGCCTTCAGCTCCTTCCATATTCCTGCAAAATGCACGATCTTGTTTTTGTTATGACCTTTGCACCTTTGTAACCAGAATATCTATAATTATTATCTCAGACCTGTCCTAATTTCTATTTCAGGAGTAATTTGGGATTTTTGAGCTGATCAAAATGTACTTTGAGTTGATGCTGCAATGTGAACAGACCATTTAAGGAATTGAAATAGAATTAAGGTATTTCATATGTGACACGAATAGGTATCATTGGAGGTTCCATAGAAGTTTGTAAAAGGCAGAAAAAATGCCCCCCCACACAAAGATATTCATGTTTGAATCTCTGGAACTTGGATATGCCAAGTTAGCAAAGGGGAATTCAGCTTTCAGATGAAATTAAGGTGGTTAAACAGCTGACTTTAATATAGCAACATTAGTCTATCTTATCCAGGTGAGTCCAACGTAATCACAAGGGTCTTTAAAAGTAGAAAAGGGAGACAGCTGTGTGATGCTTCCTTAGAGCCGCCACAAAACAATAGTTGTGCTTAAACGTTGATCTCCACCCAGTGAGACAGATATTGGACACCTAACCTTCAGAAATGTAAGCTAATACTTTACTATTAAACCACTAAACTTCTGGTAACTTGTTATAGCAGAAACATGAAACTAAGACTTTGTTCTTGCCTTTTTTTTTTTTTGTCATCTAATTTTACCATATCTCTATTCACCTATTCCCTTACCTACAATCCTGGAGATCATTCTTACTTCCCTTCTCTCTGTTAGACCCTGCGTCTAATTGATTATTGAGTGTTAACTGAGTTCTGAAATTTTCCCAAGACAAGTTTTTTTCCCCTCCACACCAACTATCACATTTTTAGGTAAGTTTCATTATTTTTAACCAGAGTTTCCCAATATTCTTGAAACTACTTCCATCTTGCCTCTCAAAATATTTGCATGCCCTTCAGTGATTTGCCATCACCTATCCTAGAGAATAATGTCCAGGCTCCTTAAAATTATGTGTAAAGCTATCCGTACATGGCTCCTGCTACCCACTCCAGCATCACCTACCTTGCAGTTAGGGCTAAGGTAATATTGAGCAATCTTTGTGCCCTTGACATATCACGCTCTTTAGTGTCTTTCTTTGCTCTTGCTGTCCTTGTTTCTGCAATGTTCCTATTCCTTCTTTACACTTTTTAAATACTTTTACACTCCTAATGTCCAATCTTTCCCAAGATTCTGTCCCTTCATTGCCAGATGGAACTGTGTTTTTGCTTTGTGCCCTCTTGTTTTCTTGATCCTCTTTATCTGGATGTTTAATAAAATAAACCATGATTATCTATTTGTAGGTTGGTAAAAGTCAGAGTGCCTGATGCATAGATGAATATAGTATCAACTGTTTACTGAATTAAACTGAATTAAGCTGCTTTTCCCTTGTCTTGGACTCAGCCTAAGGTGACCCTCCCCTCCCCAATAAGTCATGCCCTTGTATAATTTTCTGTCCTTGTGTTCAGACAGAACCCATGACTTGTTTGTAGCTAATATAATATGTCAAGGTAAAGGGATATTGTAGGTGTGATTAAGATCCCAATTCAGCTTAGCTGGAGTTAATCAAAGAAGATTAACCTGTACAGGCCTGATTTAATCATGGTGAAATCCTTAAAGCTGAGGTCCTCCTTGAGCCAAAAGATCCTCGTGCTGACCATAAAGAAGCAAACAGCTGTGTCGTGAAATGCCTATGGAGAGAACCATGTGGCAAGGAACTCTGGCATCCTCTATGACCTGAGCGTAAACTCCTGCCAACAGTCAGCAAAAAGCCAGGAATAAAAACTACATTAAAAAAATAAAAAGTATCCAGGTGCAGTGGCTCACGCCTGTAATCCCAGCACTTTGGGAGGCCGAGGTGGGTGGATCACAAGATCAGGAGTTCAAGACCAACCTGTCCAAGATGGTGAAACCCTGTCTCTCCTAAAAATACAAAAATTAGCCAGGCGTGGTGGCAGGTGCCCATAATCCCAGCTATTTGAGAGGCTGAGGCAGAGAATTGCTTTAACCTGGGAGGCAGAGGTTGCCGTGAGCCGAGATCACAGCACTGCACTCCAGCCTGAGCGACAGAGTGAGACCTCATCTCAAAAAAATTTAAAAAGTTAAATTTAGATGAAATAAGGTCAAAAGAATAGTTAAATATTGCACTAGGTACTTCACAGGGATACCTACAGGATTGACATCTTGTTAAAATCGAAACTAAAAATTAAAACTACAATACTTATGTAGCAAGTTTCAGGATTTTTCATGTTTATTATCCTCTTGTAATTAGTTTTCTTTGAATTGATTGCTCATATTCTCATGTCCTGGGTGACATGTATTTTTGGATCACACATTGCTACTTGAATTGGCATTTTATATCCTTGAAATACAAGGATATTGTAGTCCACTGTCATCTTTTTGGAAGAATTCTGTTAGGGGAGACTAAAGATGCCAAGACCAAGGAGTTAGAAACTATAATTGAAAGTCAGGTTGTGCTATAGCATTAAAGTTAATTCTCCAAAAACATAGGCATGGTCCATCATGCCACTCAAGGAATCTTTATTACTATGTCATGCTCCACTTACAGACATACATAATAATCTTGGGCTACAGTCACATGTATCATATCTAGCTATCAAAATGCAAAGTGAATGTTAGACAGGATATAGTAAAATAATATCTCTTGAAATATATCTATCCCCTAGAGATTCTACCAAAAATGGGTGGTTGTTTGGCAACTTAAAACTTCCATGGACATTAATAATAATAGTCTTATCCTTTACAGTACATCCAGTTCTCAGTACACACCTATTCAGTGAAGGGAAAGCAATAGCTTATTAAAACATCAAATGAGAAACATATGAATTAACGAATTTGAAATGAAATATCTTACCACATTCCCTCTTATTTTTCTTTTTTTTTCCATGTTGCTTTTAATTTTTTGCCTGGGAGGGGAATTAAAATTTTACTACTTAATATGCAAAGCTACCAATAAGATGCTCAATTTCAAAATGATATTTTATTTTCCAATGAAAGGTGACTAATACAGGGCTTAGCAACCCCATTCCTTGGGGATATAATTAGCTAGCTTGTTTACACATAGCCTGTTGAGCTTGTAAGTGTCTATACACAGATTATGTCAGTTACCACGGACTGGCCATGTCCACAGTGGATTCCCAATGTGTTTTTATGAATATATTCACTATTTCCAGGGCTATCCCTGGCTATCATTTAATTAGGATGCAAACAAATTGGAGGAAATGAATTTAAATTTGAATTTCTCTGCAATTAGGATGAAAGAATTTAAACATGAGTGACTTACAGTTTACAACATCAAATTAATTTATGCACACTACCTCAAGTCATTTGTAGCAAGAATATGCAAAATCAATAATTACAGCCTAGATGATGCCCTTGCTCCTAGGGGATAAAGTGACCTGTTCCAAAAAGTCAACCTGTTGTTTAACAGTTTTCCTTTTAAGATTGAATAACATTTACACACCTTGGAGAAAATCCTGACTTCTTTTAGTTTCTCCTCTGGCATGTGATGAAGACTATATAATTTTAAAGGGAAAAATAAATCAACAACTTTAAAATATTCAAGGCAAAATTCCAGTGCCAAAGTGCAATGCATGTGAGTGCTCTGGATACTGTCAACAGCCAGTGATTTTGTTGTACCTATGGGACATCCAGCAGGCAGAATTTGCAAGCTGAGTATTAAGGGTCTGGAGAATGGAGCAGATAAGGTTTACATACTTGGCATTCATAAGTGTGTATTTAATGATTGATATCATATAAATAGATGAATTTTCCTTAAGAAAACAAACAGTATAATTGAAGGACATGGGTGAACTCAGAAAAATACAAATTCTTTGGAACAGAGAGGGAGATACAATATAAGAGGGGTGGGGAATAAAGTGGGAAACAAGAGCATATGTCAGAAAAACAAAGATCTAGAGTTTTAAAGGAGCTCAAGTTAACATATTAAATACTATAGGGTTATCAAAGATATGTTACTTTTCAGGCCTTGATGATTAGTGTGTATTTTTCACTTTCTTAGCGTAGTCTTAGCAGACTGGCCAAGCTGAGTTTAGGTACCAGACGACCAAGAAGAAAATTGAGGAGTGGAAGTAAGTAGCAGTTGGTTTTTCTTTTCAAAATCTGACCTATGATTGTAGTTGAGGAAGGACTGTATCTAGAATGTGACTCAGAATAAGACAATGTTTCTCCTAAGATATAAGCCTTTTCCTAAAATGAGAGGAAGCAACATTAGAGAAGTAGAGGTTGAAAATATAGGAAGGGGTTATAATTGGTGGTTCAGAAATCCTAAGGAAAGTATAAGGATGGGCTTTCATAGCACAGTGGGAAGGATTCATTTAGGTAATAGAAGGGACACATTTTCCTCTAAAAGAATCTATAAGTAAAGAACTGTATATATGTAGATGTTAGTGTAGGGTTGTGTCATGAACTTCACATGGTCTGTACCTCAGCACTTTCTCTTTCTTGTAAAGGATAAAGCCAAGGCATCTTCGTGGATTGAGGTGTACAGGTTTGTTGATGAGGTTGTTGTTTGTTTGTTTTAGGGGAGAAGCAGGATCTCTGTCACCAAGGCTGGAAAGCAGTGACACCAGCAAGGCTCACTGTAGCCTCAACCTCCCAGGCTCAAGCCTCCCACCTCAGCTTCCTGAGGAGCTGGGATGACAGAAGTGTTACCACACCTGGCTGTTTTTTCTTTCTTCAGTTTTTGTAGAGACAGGGTGTCCTATGTTGCCCACACTGTTTTCGAACTCCTGGGCTCAAGTGATCCTCTTGCCTCAGCCTCCCAAAGTTCTGGAATTATAGGTGTGAGCCACCACATCCTGCTTGTGAAGTTTTTTTTAATGATCAACCTGGGGGAAAAAGGTTGTAGAAACAGTGAGGAGGTTTGACAAAGGAAAACGAGGAATTACATATAATAGATTGCTGGAGATTGCTGAGAACATAACTGAGGCTGAAAACAATTTTGAACCCTGTCAAAATTATGTTATTTTAGCATAATTACAAATTATGTTATTAAATACAGGCTTATTGATTTTATTTTGCTTTTCTTATATAACTCCATAGAAGCATATATACATGGTATTCTAAATATTTATCTCACTTCTTTTAAACAAACATACTTAAATTGTGGCTTATCTCAAAAATGTTTCTCTTCCTGAAAGATCAATGTAGCACTGAAATCTTTGATTCTTTTTTCCTTCAGTTTTTTGCAATGCTGGTAAATAGCTATTTTTGGAGAACCCAAGGACCAGAGTATTTCCCCTAGAAACTAGAGAAATTTCCAAAATTACTGTGAAACCTCTTTATCTGAAAATGTGCATGTGTGTGCACAAGAATCCTTAAAGGCCCTGCAACAATAACTCTCTCGGCATTTAGCAAGCATTTCTGAGTGTGTGTTGGGTCACATTTTCAACATTCCTAAGGCAGTTTACAACCCTTAGCCATAACTTCTTGCTTTGAGCCTCGAGGTCAGCCAGCAAAGAGAGATTACGATTCTCTTAGGTTTTTTTCAGAAGTGCACATAGCACTGCTGGTGCATGAGTTGCGATTCCCAGGAACGTAGTGGGGCTTTTCAAAGCCCCACATGGACATCTCATTCCTCAGAATTCCTTTCAAGGTCAACTTTTTGTTTGCCCTGACCATTATTACCACTTTATAGAGCTGAAATATTAAACCATGATTACTGATTGTTTTTGGCAAATACCCCGGGGGAAAAAGGCTATTTGCATTGAGAGAGCTATAAATCAGGTCAAACTCACAGCCTGTAAGTAGGGGTTTTGAGGGAACTGCCAGGTTAAACAATGAAAATACTGAGAATGGAGCTTTTGGGAGGCTCCAAACCCATTCTGCTTCATCCACGTATCCCAATGAATGGCTGCTAAGCTGTGAGTTTTTACTGTGATTTTGGGGTTTGTTTTGAAGGCTACCAGGGAGCAGGGGTACAGTATAGATCAAATTGTCACAAATCTTACTACAGTCAGCATTCTTTCTTGAAGAAATGCTCTTCAAATTGTAATTCTTTTATTTCCAGAGTTCTAAAACTTAATTTTGACAATTTTTCCCAGTATTCTCTTTGCTTTCAGGAATAAGTGGATTTTGAGAGGTCTTTTATCTTTCCGGAAATCCTAACAACTTGAATATGTTTTAAAATTATATTCTCAAGAGGCTCTCTATGTAAGTAGGTCAGATACATGCCCCATTTATTAGAGGAGAATCCTGAGAGATCATAGATGACATTGTTACAAGTTACTTTATGGTAGGTATCATCTGAGAATCTAGTCTTAGTTGTCAGCCTTTCTTCTGCTGATGGGTAGAGTGCTAAAAGGGAAAGGTGAAAGTTTGAAATTGTACCTGAAGAGTTAAGAGAAAAAGGGGTTAATGAGTTACTTATAGATCTTTGTGCCTCAGAGGTCCTTACTGAGAGTTTTAATCCAGATCTTTGTGCCTCAGAGGTCCTTACTGAGAGTTTTAATCCAAACGGTTTGGTAAATTTGGGGTGACAGGTATAACATGGCTTAGGCTTAAAGTGTTCTGGAATCCATCAAGATCTTTGCAGTGATGTCATAGATGACAACCCCATCATCTTCTAAAACATGGACATGTTGAGAAATAGTGTTTTTGTTCAGTCATTGAACTGATCCAAACTTCTGTGTTCATATTTTTATAGACCTCATGATTGTTAAGGTATAAAGAAGCATCAGAAGCTTTGTTTTTGTTTTTAAGTACAAAGGAGTTAGGATATTCCTAACTTTTTAATTGATTTTTTTTTTCCTGCAAGGAAAAAAAATGATCATTAAAATAATTCACTTTGATGTGAGGAAGAGCTTCTTGTCTTAGAGGCACTGGTGAGGGGAATTCACAACTATGCGTTGTTTTAATTGGATTACATCCTCAGAGCTTGAGTTTTGAGCTCTGAATCTACAATCTATTTTGCAAGTAATCAATGGTATTTATTTAAATGCTCTTGGTAAAGATAATGTGAATAGAGACGTCTACTTATTTCTAGCATAAAATTGTTTAATAAGCAAAATAATAGAGCACTGCAAATTAACTATTAACAAATGAAATCTTTAACTTTCACACTTTCATTTGATATTTACCGAATATTTTCAGGACTAGTTCATGTGTAATTTAGTTCAACTTTTGTTTAAAATAGGAAAGTGAAGCTTGAAAATAAGCACTCTCTTAAATATTTTAGAATACCAGATACTTTTCATCTTTCATGGAATCATATTCTTTGTATTTTAGAATCAAGGTATGTTCTTACTTGGTGTTTAATCAAGGAAATACCTAAATCAAGAACCATTCCAAATGGCTGTGTATTAAGTGAGATGGTTTACTGATGTCAACAAAAGTGAAAAAAATTATATTGAAGTATAAATTATATATATTAATCTTAATTGCTCAACATATATTTACAAATACATTTTTTGTGCATATTTGTATTTTGTACCTATATATAAAACAAAAATTATCTTTTGTACAAATATTTGTAAGATCTGGCACATTTTTAGCACCCCAGAAAAATCTTTTTCGGGCTCTCAATGCTGAGAAAAAGAAGGCAGTCTCACCTGTTACCATATATTAATATTGCCTACCTTGGTCTTCATATAAATGGAAGAATACAGTATTTATGTTTTCTTTTTCTGGCTTATTTCACTTAAACTTACATTTGTGAAATCTATTTGTTATGTACCAGTGATTCATTCCTTTTCATTTTGTGTAGCACCCTGTTTAATTATGGAGCTTTTCAATCCATTTTATGCTGATGGACATTCAGGTGTTTCTGTTGAAACTGTTTGTCATAAGTTATCTATGTGTTTAAATTTAGAAGATAATGATAATTATTTTTCCAAAATGGTTGTATCAACTTAATAACTCATTTAAATATGTGAGGATCTCCTAAAAATCTAAAAAAGATGGACCCCCAATTTCAAAGAATAAATAAAAAGGTAAAGCACTTAAACAGGCAGTATATGCACATTTGTAAAAATAAAAGATTGAGTTAAATTTTGAAAAATATAAGAATCTCATTTGAGCTACATGTATGAAAATATTTATTTTAATTATATGACACATAGATTTTGGATATGATGAGTGCTGAACTGAGGGTTTTCACTTGATAAGCCTTAAAAATTGAACTTTTCACTCACGAAACATGCTTAAGACAATTTTATATATGAATTGAATCATAAAAATTGTCTTAGAGTTCAATAAAATGTTTAAAGTACCTTATAGGCTGAGGAAAACAATGGAAGAGTTAACAAGGATACAAAGCGTAAAAGAGAAGAATAAGAGTTCACATAAAATCGAATGAAAAGGTACCATCTTCTGCAACTCTTTAGGTAATTGTTCATGTGTGCTAATTTTCATGAGTTGTAGCACATTGTTTTTGGCCAAGGCTTCCATTCGCTCTATGGATACGCCAAAAATTTCCTATTTCAGATCTTCTAGTCTCCAACTCTGAAGATAAAAATCATTAAAACCTCTGACTCTGATATTGAATGCCTGCATAAAAATTTCCTTCCATCACCTTGCAACAGATGACTTGCTCATACACCTTTCTGACTCACCATCACGGGTTCTCTCCTTCCTTTGAGACTACAGTAATTCTTTTTGTATTTCATGTTATGTGCAAACTTTACTTTCAAAGGGGTTTTTACCTATATTAATGTATTTACATCATTCACTTAATATATTTTCCTATCTGTAAAATTGGTTTAGATATCTTGGATTAGGATAGAACACAATTTTTCTCACTTTTATAAGTTTTTTTTAGTTGGGCCGTTTTTCAGTTGGTGACAGTGTCAGAAATGAATTAAAATTAAGTGAAGAATAGGTAAACAGAAGGATGCCCTTATGACTTACCAACTTTGCTTAGTTTTTTCAAGTTCAACAAGACCCTTCTCTCCCTTCAAGGAAGATGATTCCTAGGCATGTTTGTTATTTTTATCAAAACAGCTGAGTTTTTTTTTTCATTCAAATTGGCAGTATACCTGGTAAATACAAATTATTTCTGAGCTCATGTATATTTTTAGGACAGTTTCTTGTGATATGCCTAGGTTATAATATTAAGGAACATCGACTTTTCTCAGTGTTGGGGCACTTGAAAGAGTTCTTAATAACCCTGCAGACTTACTTCCAGAATAATGTAAGGCCACTTTTTAAAAAACTGTGCATATTACTCTGAGAAATTAATATGCACTTCCTTGAGTTTCTTTAGTCTTAGACTTGATAGTTGTAATTGTCAATAATTGAAGACAGAATATTCTAGAAAATATTATTTTTTGCCTTTCTCTGAAATATTTGTTGCTCTGTATGGATTATTTTATAGATTAAAAAACAGAAAATATATTTCAGGTCCTACAGTGTACCCCATATATGTGAGCATTAAAGCTTAGAGATAAAGGCACTGTACAGAATAAAATGTAACACATTGACCAAATGGTTTAATCAACTTCATTGCTCAAGCTCTACCTCATTACTAGAAATGCTGCTCTAAACCATTTTCTCTTTTCAGAAAAACCCAGTATCACCAGAGACTCACCACAAAATGCCTGAGCAGATTTGTTCTCTAAATTGCCTAAATCCATCCAATACTAATTTGTCCAAATTGCTCTTTTTCTCCATAAGAAAGTTTCACCCTCTTAACCTATTATATAATCTTCCCTCCAATTTCAAAGTAAGAGAGAAGTCTCCTTTTTCCAGAGCTAATTCCTGCATCTGACCTGTGTATTCCAACCCAGCCACTTTGTTCCATTAGTCATCCTTTCCTTTGTCATAGCTGTTACCTCTTATGCTCTGTTGCCTTGTTCTTTACATATTTTCTTGAAATTCCTTCATTCTAAAACTCCACATCAACAATAATTATACATAGCAGTAAAGAATATTATAATTTATTATGTCAACTGCGTGATGGGTAATAAAAGGGTACTTATGAAAAATATCCTTAGAGGACTTATGATTTTCTAGATACCTCTTGTTTTCACATGTATCGACAGTAATTTAATTCTGAAAACCATACTTCAAGTAATGCATTATTATCTTTCCCATTAGACATTATTAAAATTAATGCCCTGCGAAATCATTAGGCTCATTCCCATATAGAAAGGAGCCTGCAGGGCTGGGATTTTACCCTAGGCCTTTGAGCTCCAGTGTCTTATCATGTCAGCCCTTCCATGCAATGAAGAACTTAGAATATTCTACAATCACTGTCTTTGCTTTGTCACCACATAAACTGTAAATCACCACAAAATAATTTTAATTTCTAGCATTCAACTAAAATTTGTTTCCTCACATGTGATCAGAGACTCTCATGTTGACTATTCGCAATCCTATTCTAGACAAATTTCCTGTGGTAGTAAATACTCAACTAAATCTATATGTAGAAACATATTTCTACTTTGGATCTCCTCTTGAACTTTTTTCTCTCATCCTACTCTGTTTCTATTGTCCTTTAATAGCATCATACTTGTCAGTATCACCAGGCCACTTCTAGACCTGCCAAGATTACCTGTTCAACATTAATTATCAATAGTGTAATAGCCATCGTATGTAAATTACTCCTAATGTACATCTCTACTATGAAATATAAAAAATTCTTCCTTAGTTCATCTTTTCCACATGGTTTCTCAAACAGACCCTCATAATCACAGCTCTCAAATGTTTATCTTGCTGCCTTGCTGTTTTCTTGTAGCGCCTTCTATGTATGTATCAATATGTTGGTTTTTTTTTTTTTTTTTTTTTTTGAGACAGGGTCTTAGTGTGTCACCCAGGCTGGAGTGCAGTGGCACAATCTCGGCTCACTGCAGTCTTGAACTCCTGGGCTCAGGCAAACTTCCCATCTCAGCCTCCTAAGTAGCTGGGACTACAGGCACTCACCACCACACCCAGTTCCTTTTTATTTTTTTTGTGCAGATGGGGTTTTGCCATGTTGCCCAGGCTGGTCTGAAACTCCTGAACTCAAGTCATCTGCCTACTTTGGCCTCCCAAAGTGCCAGGATTATAGGCAGAAGCAACTGTACATGTCTCCATCAACACATCTATCATCAGATCTTTGTAATCTCTCACTGTCTCACTGAAACTGTTGTGGTCTTACTCTATTCAAACTCTTTCCTTCAATTGCCCCTCAGTTGAAAATCCTCTCATGAATGATTTCTTCCGTTAGGCTTTTAGTGACTATCTAAAATTCTTTTTGATGAAAAATGACTATGAAAATTTAGATTCAACAAAATACCAGACTTATAGAAGCCAGGGTTATAGAATGATGAGACACTAAAACAATGACAGGTTTAATTTGAGTATCATTATCTACCTTCTGATCATCTTAAATTTTGTATATGTCTTCCCCATTACCGTAGTCTTTCAGGACTCTTAAGGTAAGAATAATCTGAAAATTATTTCTTAAACCTATTAAATGCTGATTTTGTTGATTAATCAATAAAAATAATATTTGAGCTAGATATCTTCTATGGTACTCTTTGATTCTTTCATTTGATTTATCTGATCAATCACTATAAGATAGTGTATGTGGCTTATACTATGTTGTATATTATGAATATACATTGAATTAGTTTAGAACTAGTCCCTATACCTAAGAAACTTACAAAACAGTGGCAGATGCAGAATAAGGAAGCAGAGAAATGATAAATATAATATATCCAGTAGAAAAAATAAAAGATACATAGGTATATGAAAAATTTATTTAGGTGGCAGTATCCATATAATGAGGTGATCAGCAAAGAGAGACTACTCTAGTTATATGAATGGGAAAAGCTGCAGACTGACATCTTTCGATCGTTTCAGATGAGATTTGAAGAATAGGGAAAAACACAGGATTGGCTCTATCTTACATTCAGCACACAAGCTATCACCACCTCCAAATACATGCAAATAGAGACACAGACTAAACACCAGGTAGTGGAAGGGAATTTTTACTCATTTTCATCTTAAGCAGTTCTGCTTCCCTATGCTGAGACTTCTGGAATTTGAATGCAAGACCTTATTAACTACCTGACAAGAAAGGTCTACTCAAAAATCAGACTGATCATGTTTTGCTAAAAATCTGAAATGGCCCTTCTGCAGCTTCCATGAATTATTCTATCATGGCATATTTAAGGGTATTCAGTCATTGGCAGATGGGCAGCTATTTCCTTTCCACTAGAAATGCATAAGTAAAACTTTCTCTAAAGGAAAAAAAAAAAGACCCACAGATATCTTTTAAACATTCAGAATTTAAAGAGGAAAATTGGTACTTGCCATTTAGTAGTTTGTAATTTAAATGACAAGGGTCAATAATTTATCTGTGTTAATTGGAACCAAGCAATAGTAGTCTCATTTTAGTTCTCTAAGGCTACAGGGATAATTGAAGGATAAGAAAATTGTAGACTTGACCTCAATATTCTAACTAATAATTCACTGTCTCCTCATGTTTGTAAATGTATTTTATCCAAATAAGGAGAGGAAAGTTTCTGAGGCTGCTGATAACCTTTTGCTGTCATATGTCCATTCAGATTTAAACATTTTCTTTCGATGTCCTGATTCTAGGAAAAGGAATCTTTCCTAAAGAATCATCATGATAATATATGTCCATTTACACAATTAGTCAAAAACTTGTATGTATCACCTGTTGCATGTTGGGTACTGGACTAATCATTGAATAAAATATACCTGCCTTGAAGAGCTCCCTTTCCAACTGGCAAAATGTTTCACTTGGAATTATTTGGCTGCAACATGTAATAGAAAGCCAAATATGGTGGCTTTAATAAATAAGGGGTCAGGATTGGCAATATAGTTCTAATATAGAGGCTTCATGATATCACAAAACTAGCACTTCCTTCCTTTTCACTCTGCCATCCTTTACATGTGTCTGTCTTTCTGATCATCACAACATGGCAGCTTCATCTACCTACATTCCTTTTATGATCCAGAGAAGGTAGGAAAAAGTCAAAGGCAAATGGCATACAACAGCTGAGATTTCTCTTTACTCATACCCATGCCAAGTAGAATTTGGGTCACATCTCTTTGGCACAAGTCTATCAGCCCATATGACCCTCTCTCTGTAGGTACCAGAAAGCCTGGGAAATCAAGATGTGATCCAGGCACATTGCTGCTGCAAATGAAACAAGATTCTGTAAATTGGAGAATAAGTAATTGGGAAATTACTTATTTATACTTATTTTCTTGAATAACATCAGTTAGCAACTAGATGTTTCTTCTTGATAGACTTATTTTGCCCTCTGCCCCACAAAAAAAAAATGAAACATCAACAATGCTATCGCATAAGTGCTATAGCAAGGTGCTACACAAACTTTGGAAATACAAAGAGAAATACAGAGGGCAAGAACTTCAAATAACTTTTCCAAAAAAAAGGTGATAACTTTGATGAGTTGTAAAAAACTAGCAAATTTTCAGGTAGGCAACAATGGGGAATAACTAATCCACGAAAAAGGATTATGAAGAAATGCATCAACATAAAGAATCTTGTCCAGCCAACAAAATCCAAGAATACCTTTGTCATTAAAGGGAAAACTATTTTGAAGGGAGGATGATAAAAGTTTATATGAATGCAATGCTAAGTACCTTGAAATTTATTTTTAAAACCATAGTAGATAATTTAAGGATTTCATCCTGAAGAAATTCATGATTAGATGGATAAGAAACAATGAGACTAAAAGCTGTAAAATTAATCCAGGAGAGAAATCAATGAAGGCAATAGCCTAAATTTGAATAAGAGGTTTCTAAGGAAGAAAAATAAGTTAGTGTTACACAAAGAGTTTGAGTGGAAGGTAACAATTTTGTTGAAAGAAACAATTAGTTTTCTCTGAAGAGCATCCAGGGGTTCAAAGAGTTAGAGAATTTAGAAATGAAAAGAGTAAGCTAGAAATCTTGACTGCGGAGACATCAGCCTATAAGGCATAACTGAAGTAATAATTATCGATAAGGTAACTCAGAACATATGAAAAAATAAAAATATACCAGATAGAAGATTGAAGATAATATTAAAGAGATGGATGAGGAATCGTATAGTAAGGAAGTAGATTAAGAAGTGATGGTCAAAGAAACAGAAAATCTAAGTGGAAGTAGTCTCTTGATAACTAATGGAAAAGATAATTCTTGGAGAACAAGAAGAAAGGGTTTAAGAGTGTCAAATGCTAAATTCTGTAAGACCTGCTTAGAAACTGCTCATCGAATTTGAATATTGCATAATCATTGGTGAGCTTAGAGAAAGAAATTCAGTCAAGCTACAAGAGAAGGCAAATGATAGTGGATTATGATTTAAAAAAGCAGAAGTGGATATTTTGTGGAAACATGGAGGAAAAATTGGGAAAGAAAGCAGGTGATATGTAGATGTTGATCATAGGATTGTAACAGTCATTTGTGTCCATGTGCATGTATGTACAAGTGTGTGTGTATATATATGTATGTGTTGTGAAAAATCTGAGCATAGTATAGGTTGAAAAGCCAGTAGGGAAATGTTTTATATTCAAGTATAGAAAGTATAATTAAGACTATTCCTGATAGCTAAGGAGAAAGGAGAAGGGTTTTTACATGAAAGCATTTATGCCTATTTACATAAAAGGTGCCGCAAAACTGATTTCACACTGATTATTTGCTAATATTCCTTTCACAACCAAAATATTAAGTTTATTACCATCATTTTGTGTATTCAAAACTAAATTGATGAAACATCAACTGATAAGTGTATAATGACCAGCATTTTGTCATTATGAAATGGCAACATGGTACCTTTTTAAATTTCCATTTCAAATAATTTTACTTCTCTTTTCTTTTTTGTGGATATCTTTACTCTTTCCAGGAAGTAGTGATAGATACATGAAAGAAAAGAATTTTTTTGTCTCCATTTTAAATAATGATATTTAATTGTCAATGTATGTTTTGACATGAATACAATCTTACAGTTACAAAGTCTTGTGTGTTATCTACCATCAAGGTTTGCTCAAATTTTAACTCTTGTTTTTAATTTGTATTCAAAGGGAAAATAAGTGTCTACATATATTCTGTATAACTGTTACAACAAATTCTCTAAAGAATATATATTTGTGGATATCTTTATAAACAGCACTAAAGCTAATGTCTCTTTGTTGACTAAGCATGTTTCAGGCTTGACTTTCCTCTGTCAGTCAATTAGTCTGACTTATCCTCCATATGATAAGCTTAGACATTTGTCTTCACACAACATATACAATTTAATATAGGGTAATAGATTTAAGAACTTTTATCTTGTGACCTGGCATACTTTTGAACCCAATTATTTTAATGTGAAATGTTAGGGACATATTAAGAGACCCTCCAGAAATACCATATACAAGAAATCATAAATGAAATATCTACCATGGTATCAAACTCTAAAATATAACTCCTGGGCATGTCATTTTTTTTTTCACTGCTACATTTGTCCAGAGAAATAAAGGTTATTCTTGAGGAGACCAAAGTAAGACACTTTAAATAAGTATAAAGAAGAATTAACAAAAAAAACAAAAAAAAGCCACTTGCCCAAAGAAAGAATAAATGAGCAAGAGAGCAAGATGGGTTATCTTTGAGAGAACATTTGGTATCATTGTTGCTTTACTTCTAAGGAGTGCATAAAAACTAAAGGTAATGTGAAAAACAACTCTTCCTTCAAAATGTTTAGTATCGGGTTATATGGAAAAGCTATAAACTTGTTTTTGTGGGGTTTTCAATTTCAGTATAGATCATTGGTCTGCTCCTTTATGTCAAGTAGCCATTTACTGGAAAACAAATGTTTCCAAATATAATGGTAAGATTTCATAATTTTTTCCTACCTCAAACATAAAGAGTATAGAAACAGAGCCTTCTCCTCCAGCTCTTTGTCCTTCTTTGACATGTGCACAGCAACACAGAGGAATTCATGGCAGGGCCTCATTTCCCACCCCACGTGTGATTCCCCAGGGCCAGCGCCTTCACACTTGCATGAGTGTGCACACACACAGGCACACACACATACTCACATGCAGAACGTTACTTCAGACCTTCACAGGACCTTCTTTTTCTTTCCCTGGCTCTGACTTCCACACCAAGAGTGGAAGCATTAATCTGTTCCACTCTACCTTTCCTTATTCATCTCTGCCTGACAGTGTTTTCCCGGGATAAGAGGGAAGCCACGACTGGAATTTATACCAATTAGATGAATGGCGGCAAATAAATTGCTCCTAGAGTAATCAGAAGATTAAAGGGGAAAACCCTACAATGCTGTGAGTAATCCATTGTGATAAATGAGAGAGAACTGACATGTCATTACAGAAGAATTAAATTTATCCTCCCTCCGTTTCTGTCCCATTCCCTGATTAGGTATACCTGGCCACACAGATACACTCCCAGTTTACAGAGATAGAGACTATATAGATATAAAGATAGCCTTCCATAAAGCCAATGTAGTATGCCCTTATATAAATGTATATTCTCCTACATAAGCTAACCAGGTTTCCTTGAGGTTAATGAATTAGAAGTGGTTGAGTAGACAGCAGGGTAATGGGGAGTATTTTTCAAAATGAAACACACTTATCTACCAATACGTTCTTGAGTTTTAAGATAATGATCCGAGTTCTGTTTCTGAGAGAAGAGGTCACATGGCTGTTTCAAATATATTTCTTTTGAAAGTAGTTTTATTCTGATTCATTTCTATTACTTGCTAAAGTATATATATTTTCCACAGAATTTGATTAGTACTGATGTTATTTTTAGAATAAAAGGACATTCATAAATATTTTTAGAAAGCCCATTAGAAGTGTTTGAATTATTATGTGATTTATATAGGATAAAATCCATGTTTTGGTTGTACACGTCTGTAAGTTTGGATAAATGCATAGTCATGTAACCACCACCAAAATTAAAATTTAAAACAATTCTGGCCAGGTGTGGTGGCTCACCCTTGTAATCCCAACACTTCGGGAGGCCGAGGTGGGTAGATTATGAGGTCAAGAGATCGAGACCATTCTGGCCAACATGGAGAAAGCGCATCTCTACTAAAAATACAAAATTATCTGGGCATGGGGGTGCATGCCTATAGTCTCAGCTACTGGGAAGGTTGAAGCAGGAGAGTTGCTTGAACACGGGAGGCGGAGGTTGCAGTGAGCTGAGGTTGGCCACTGCACTCCAACCTGGCAACAGAATGAGACTCCATCTCAAAACTGTTCCACACCCTCAAATTTTCCCTCATCCTATCCCTTTCTAGTCAAACTCTCCTCTAATGCCTGAAAACCATCAACTTCCTCTCAGTCCCTATAGCAACTCAATTTCTAGAATGACCTTCAAAGGAAGTCATCCAGCAAGCAGCGTCTGGAGTCTGGCATCTTTCTCATGGTATTTCAGGTAGATCCACGTTGTTGTGTGTATCAGTTGTTACTGTGACATATTGAAATTCATTTATCCATTCGCCAGTTTGAGGGCATTTAGGATTTTCCAGGCTATGGGCTGATTGTGGTGCACCCCCCACCCCCACCGCAAAATTCCTATGTTGAAGTCCTAAATTCCAGTACTCATAATGTTACTATATTTGGAGATAGTCTTTGTGGTGGTAATTAAGGTTAAATAAGGTCATCAGAGTGGGCCCTAATCCTATATGTCTTGTGTTCTTACAAGAAGAGGAGATAGCTGGGCATGGTTGCTCACGCCTGTAATCCTAGCACTTTGGGAGGCTGAGATGGGAGAATCCCTTGAGCCCAGACATTCAAGACCAGGCTGGGCAACATAGCAGGAAACTATCTCTACAAAAAAATCAGAAAAAAAATAAGTGTGGTGGCACACACAGTGGTCTCAACTACTTGGAGGGCTGAAGTGGGAGACCACTTGAGCACAACAGGTCAAGGCTGCAGTGAGCCATGATTGTACCACTGAATCCAGCCTGGGTGACAGAGCGAGACCCTGTCTCAAAAAACAAACAAACAAACAAACAAAAAAAAAAAAACAGTGCAGGCACTTATGGGGGGGATTGGGAACTCATGAAGACAAATAGAAGAGGCCATCTATAAGTCAAGGAAAGAGGCCTCAGAATAAAACCAACTCTGCCAACACCTTGATCTTGAACTTCTAGCCTCCAGAGAAAATAAACTTCTGTTGTTTAAGCCTCCCGGTTTGTGATTCTTTGTCATGGCAGCCATAGCAAACTAATATACCGTGTTTGTTTATTAATAAAAGCTGCTGTACGCATTTGTGTACAAGTTGTCAAAAGACAAGTTTTCATTTTGGGAGCAAAAATACCTAGGAATGGGATTGTCATATAAACAATGTATGCTAAACATCAACATAGGCTGTCTAAAGATTGTCAAAAGTGACTGTGTGACTTGGCATCATTCCCACTAACATACCAGAAAGTTCAGTTGTTCTGCATTCACATCTGTACTTGGTATTGTCATAACTTTCTCCATTATGACAGTATGTAGTGGTATCTCATTGTAATTTTAATTTGTACTTTCTGATGACTAATTATGCTAAGCATCTTTGTTGTGTGCTTATCTATTATCAATATTTTGTAATTGAAATATGTTTAATTTTTTGCTCATTTTTTGTTGGGTTGATGGTTTCTTTATTAAGTTTTGGGAATATTACATATTCGGAATACAGTTTCTTTATCAGATGTGTGATTTGCAAATATTTTTTCTAGTTTATGGGTTGTCTATTCTCTAAACAGCATCTTTCGTAGAGCAAAAATTTTTAATTTGGATGAAGCTCAATTTATTTTTTTAACAGATTGCTGTTTTTGCATGTGAGAACACTTTGACTAATCCTAAGGTCACAAACTTTCTTTCCTGTGTTTCTTTCTAAAAGTTTATAGTTATCATTGAAGTACTTCTGGTGTGCTATGTAAAATATCAGCTGAGATTCATTTCTTGGTATACAGATGTCCAATAGTTCTAGCACCATTTGTTGGAAATGGCATTATGTTGCCTTTGCACCTTTTTCAAAAATCAGTTAACTATATTTGTGTAATTTTATTTCTGAATTTTCTATTCTGTTCCATTCTGTTTCTTTTATCTTTTCTCCAGTAACATGTTGTCTTATTAGAGATGCTAAAAAATAACTGTTAAATCACATAGTTTGATTCCTCCACCTTGGGTCTTTTTAAAAATTGCTTTTGTTAATCTTAATTTTTCTGCCTTGCCCTACACATTTTAGAATTAATTTGTTGATATTTACCAAGAAATCCTTGTGGCATTTGATTTGCTCTTAATTTTGGTACTTAATTAGTGTATTTGGGAAGAATCGACATCTCAAGAATATTGAGTTTTCAACTTCATGAATACCATGTATCTCTCCTTCTATTAATGTTATAATTTTTATCAATGTTTTGTAGCTGTTAAAATACCAATTGTGCACATATTTTTGTAAATTCATAAACACTTTATTTTTTGTCATTCTAAAAGATAATTTTTGTATGTTTCCATTTCTAAACGTTCTTTGGTAATATATAGAAATATTGAGTTTGTATACAACCACCTTACTAAACTCACATATTGAGCATTTTAATAGGTTATTTTGGATATTTTTATGTGGACTGTTATGTTGTCTGAAAATAGAAACAGGTTTGTTTCTTCCTTTCTGATGTGGATGTTGCTGATGTTTATTACCACATTACTGATCTGGCTAGGACCATCAGTATTATAAAGTTGAATATAAGTGGTAGAAGAGCTAACTTCTTGCCTTGGACCCAGTTTTGAAATTAATCAGAGAGTCGCCATTAAGTGTAATTTAGTGGCAGTTTTGGTTTTTTTGTTTGTTTGTTTGTTTTGTAGATGCCCTGTATCAGGTTAAGTTCCCTTCTTTTCTAATTTTGCTGAGAGTTTTTATAAAGAATAGATGTTGAATTTTGTCAAATGCTTTTGCTGCATCTACTGAATGACGTTTGTTTTTCATCTACCTAATCATATTGAAAGTTATATCTGTTGAGCTTTGAATGTTGAACCAGCCTTGCATTCGTGGTATAAATCACTTGTTTGTAAAGTATTTTTTAAAATATTGCTAGATTTGATTTCTTAATATTTTTATATATGTTCTTAAAGGGATATCGGTTTATACTTTCCATTTCTCTTTAAAGAGAAATGATGATGAGAGAGATTCTCTCTCTCGAAGTTCTAAGTGCCTGTGCATTGCTGCCACTACACAGCTAGTATCATGACAGCAGCTTCAGAACTAGAGCTGGCTTCCAGGTAGAGCTGAGTGGGAAAACGAAAAACAAAAGGATTATTTCTCTATATATGATCCATCTTACAGAGGCCACATTCCTGGTTCTCTAGCTAGAAAAAGTAGAAATTTTGCACACCATGGGTTAGAAAAAAAAGCCCATTAAACCCACCCCTGTTACAGATCACTATTGGTATTTTGATTTTGCTTTCAATCCATCTGTTATTGCTCACTTTTAAGAGTCCTTGGTAGTTGCTTTTTATGTCCAGAGTTTCAATTTCAATCAGTAGGAGAAATAGGCCTTGGTGAGCATGCTTTGTCTTGGCTGGTGCCATAAGTCTATACTCAAATATTTTTAAATAATTTTTAGTTGAATAACAAGTTGGACCTGTGCTCAGCTTTCTCATTGTTTTCCTAAAAGTAGAAGAAAAGGTTTTAAATACTTTAACCACTAAATAATTTAAAGCAGGTTGAAAAGAAACTCCTTCTTTTTGCCTATTGTGTATTAGTCTGTTCTTACACTGCTAATAAAGACATACTCAAGACTGGGTAATTTATAAAGGAAATAGGTTTAACTGACTCATAGTTCCACTTGGCTGGGGAGGCCTCACAATCATGGCAGAAGGCAAATGAGCAAAGTCATGTCTTACATGGCGGCAGGCAAGAGAGAGCATTTGTGCAGGGGAACTCCCCTTTATAAAACCATCAGCTCTCATGAGACTTATTCACTGTCATGGGAACAGCATGGGGAAGACCAGCCCCAATGAGTCAATTACCTCCCACTGTGTCCCTGCCACAACATGTGGGAATTATGGGAGCTAAATATCAAAATGAGATTTGGGTGGGAACACAGTCAAATCATATCACCTATATACATTCACATTAGGATTTTAGTTTTTTTTTTTTTTTTTTTTTTTTTGGAGACAGAGTCTTGCTCTTTCACCCAAGCTGGAGTGCAGTGGCGCGATCTCGGCTCACTGCAGGCTCCGCCCCCCGGGGTTCACACCATTCTCCTGCCTCAGCCTCCCACGTAGCTGGGACTACAAGGCGCCCGCCACCTCGCCTGGCTAATTTTTTTTTTTTTTTTTTTTTTTTTTGTATTTTTAGTAGAGACGGGGTTTCACCATGTTAGCCAGGATGGTCTCGATCTCCTGACCTCGTGATCCGCCCGCTTCGGCCTCCCAAAGTGCTGGGAGAATTTTAGTTTTAAAACTAGCTCTTTGTTACTATCTGAATTAATTTTTCCACAATTTTGTAAGGAAAAATAATGCCTCCTTTGAATTTCATGTGTAGATGAGTTTTTTAGTTTTGTGTCATTTTGTCCAATAAATTCTGAAAATATTTGTATTAAGTGTATTCTCTCTGCACAACTATACATATAAGAGCGCTCAATAGAAAGAATAAAGAGGAAAAAGCACTGGGTCTATATTTATACAAAACAAGCTACCAGCATAGCCCACTAGGAGTGGTCATGATATAATCAGGAATGTTATATTCACAGGTTGTAGATCTGCATATGAGAAGAGGGTTTGCAGATAACAGATTCTATAAAAGTTGCCTAATCAGACAGTAAATGCAGGTGTTGAAGTACTGAACAAAAATAAACTGCTTTAATTACTCATAAGAGGGAAGTACAAGTCATTATTCCATCCGCTAATTTACAGACTGTAAGATACCCTTTAAAAGCAGCAGTAAGTAAACTCTTGATAAAATTTACTCTATGACAAATCAACTGCCTTTCTTCCTTTGAAGAAGTGCCTTTCTTTTTAATGACTATCTTTGTGTTTTGAGATGAGGTCTCTGTCACCCAGGTTGGAGTTCAGTGGCATGATCAATCACTGTAGCCTCGATCTTCAGCTCAAGTAATCCTCCTGCTTCAGCCTCCTGGGTAGCTGGGACTACAGGTGTGCACCATCATGCCTGGCTATTTTTTAAAATTTTTTTGTAGAGATGGGGTCTCACTATGTTAGCCAAGCTGGTCTCAAACTTCTGGACTCAAGCACTCCTGCCACTCAAAGTGCTAGGATTACAGGTGCGAGCCACCAAGCCCAGCCTAATGACTATTTTTGAAAAAAGAAACACATTACTCTCCCTTGTTAATCACTTTTATGTACAAAAATGTGTTTTAATGTTGATCTGTTTAGTATATCATTTTCTTTCTACATAAATAACACATTTATACATATGTATGTATGGATATATTTGTAATGTTAAAATTGTGTTTAAGTGATGTTTACTAAACAGGATAAAATTTCATTTGGAAAATTGAGATGTGAAATTTTATCTAGTTAATCTGTAGTCCTTTCCCTTATGGTGTCCAGCTCTATGCAGCTCTGCCTCCAGATTATGTAAATATCAATTCATATTCAAATGAATTTGAAATTTAGCTTTCAACATTTGCCTTTTCAATTCTTCTTGAAATTATTGTGGTAATATTATTTCCTATCCACTAGCATACTTTTTAATCCCAACAGCAAAGTTTCTGAAAAGACCACTAGTTCTTCAATTGAACACAGTTACTGACACCTCACTATTCAACAGGAGGATAGAGATGCCCACAGCCCCTCTCCTTCAACCACATACGTCCAAGTAAAACTGGTATTTTTTTCTTTTAAAAAATATAGACATAATTATTTTCCATATTATTGAATACATTTCTATTGTAACCTCAGTTCCACTCTTCAGAATCCTTTGTTCGATTTTCTTCTGGTTGATCTGATCCACTCACACTTCTCTACTAGTTGCTCCAGAGCCAATGGGCTTAGTCACAGGGTGGGGAGTCACATTTGTGGGGGTTGGGTGAAAGTTCTGGTTCAGGTCTGCATCTCTGTTCACCATCATTTATGATGATGCTGTAACTCACTTCTGCTCTTTGAGAAGTCACACAAACAATTGCTGAATTAATCTGTCAGGTCTAACTGTCATTCAGCTATGTCTCACCGAGCCTCTTCTGGACAAATCCGTGCTGTTCTCAAGAATACTTAGGTGATTTTATCCTTTGTGGAAAGGCTACAGGCAATAGATGCGATAGGGAGAAGTATGTGGAAGACTGACCCCCATAGCTGTTCCCATATGCAACTTTTGAATCTTCTTCATTTCTGCTTCTCTTCCCAGTTCTTATCCATGGTGATTTTTGGAAAAACTGCCTCTACATTGGCATTGTGTGTACTCAGAGTGGAGGGTCTCTTCTTCTTAGCCAGACTATCAGGACAATTCTATTCACCTTCAGACTTCCAAATGTCATTACATCTTCTTAGTGCCTGACCTCCTTTTCTCTCATTCACAGGATATTCATGGCTCCTTTTAAATGGGATAGTGGCCAAGTGAAGAGTTTGTCTTTTCTGAAAAGATTGCTGAAATGTGAGGAAAGTGCCAAATTTATTTGCTTATAAAATTTTAAAAGAGAAAAAAATTAGGATTGGAATGAACGTAAGGATATTTTCATCCAATTACCTCATTCGATTGTAATAATCAAGGTCAGAAGAAATAAACTTCAGTCTTTGCTAGAAGCAACTTGCGACAAATCACACATCTACAGACTCTGCCATTCATCCAGTGACAGCAGCAATGTTCCAAACATCACATGGTATACCGAAATATAGCAATTAAAATAGTTTTACAGATGCAGATCAAGCAGTAATTACTTTGCCCAGGAATCTTAAAAAGAAATTGTATGTGGAGAGCAGGAAGCTTAGGCAATTTAGGGTGCCTTTTGTCTTTGCAGTGACAATTTACCTTGGGCTCTCAGTGACGTTTTTATGGGTTTTAAAACACAGCGCTTTTTTTTTTTTAACTTTTTTTTTAATCTGCTGGCCCTTTTGCTTTTAGCAGCCATAGACTTCTTGGCCTCAAAGGCTCAGATGTCCGAAACTTCTGAAGAGATACTGCCTTCAGCTGCTTCTCAGTAGCAGCGAGGTGTGAACACGTAGCTCCGATTACGCTTCTGCTTGCTTCAGCCTGCTGGTGCTTAATTAGGTGCTTATCCTAACGCCTTAGAACATACTTTCTGTAGATGGTTTAATTCCAACCATCATATATGCTTTTTCTCAGTGTTTCTCCAGCTTCTCAAAACTTCCCTGTAAATGAGGCCTTGTAGGCAGTTTTCTTGCTATAACCTCACCTTCCATTCAGCACAGAAACAGCATCCATTGCTGTTACGCAATGGATAAAATTGTGTAATAATGGTTATGGTTTCATACCTTTAATGTTAGTGGCAGACTTTCCTCCTGGCCTATAGGTCAGTCTTTTTTTTTTTTTTTTTTTTTTTTTTTAACATTTTTAGCCATCTAATTTTATTCCTTACATTCATTCTTAAAGAAGCAAAAACCTTTTTTATCTTTCTCTTCAGAATGGTTAAAATATACTGGCAACAAAAAAAAGCAATTTTTACAAATGATTTAAAGCATGCAAATCATTTGCTTACTATTTTTCACACTAAACATACAAAGAATATAGACATTATGTATGTTCCAATCACATTGATCCTGCAGAAAATAACTATTCTTTGATACTGGTTTTCCTTTGATCACAAATAGATGTGAGGGCAAAATGCCCTGTCTTATCACTTATTTATAAATAACTGATGGCCAAAATGGATAATTGTCATGATAGAAGTTATTGACACTGGCTGGGTGGGGTGGCTTATGCTTGTAATCCTAGCACTTTGGGAGGCCAAGAAAGGCAGGATCACCTGAGGTCAGGAGTTTGAAACCAGCCTGGCCAACATGTCTAAACCCTGTCTCTACTTTAAAAAAAAAAAACTATTTGGTTTTGGTGGCGGGCACGTGTAATTCCAGTTACTTTGGGAGGCTGAAGCAGGAAAGAAACTTGCAGCCTGGAAAACATTCACAAGATTGTTATATGACATTTATAACAGGAGTACTTCCTATATCAACTTACTAGAATTTTGGAGACTGACTTTAAAATATGATAATAAAAAAGAAAAGGCAGGGAATTGAACTTTCTTCTCATGTTTATTACAAATTTTACAGGGAGCCAGAGTCTCATTTATGTCACCTTAGATTATTTTACAAGTTTGGACTTGCAAAAATGTGGCAAAGTTTGAATGCCTGATACCTTTTTTTGGAAAGCAGCTAGAATATGTAATGCACTGACCTTTTGGTGTTCATTTTGATTGGTTAATGATTACGCCTTTACAGCTCCGTCAGATTGTAAACAAGGGGACAAAACTGAATATATAAGGTCAGAGAAGTGTAGTGACAAAATTTATGAATGCCCTATACATTTCCTATGAATAAAAAATGATTAAAATTCATATTTGCCTTTTAAATACATACATAAGAAACAGATATTAAAAATTAATTCAAAGCATACATTACCAAATATATTCTTAATTTTGTATTGAATAAACCTTATTTAGGTGTACCTTTTTCTACGAAGATGTCTTCATTAAACTATTTTCCAAATTATTTTTAAAGATGAATAGCATTGAGTTTGCATATAGTTACGATAGTACTGAAAAGTCCTCAAAATTTAGGTTTTCGTTTTCAGCTTTGTTTCTCTTTTCTAGTGAATAATGACTTAATAAATAATCATTTAACAAAATCGAAATCTCAAAGGTACATATAAACAATATAAATAACCATCCTTACTACAGTTAACTTTGTGCTTTTCTTTTAAAAAAAAAAAGCATCCAAATAAAGACAGACATATTCATGTAATAAAATCTTAGCAATCCCTGCAATAATCTGCCAGAATTATCAGCCCTCCCATCTTAACTCCGGACAGAATGAAAAAAAAAAAAAAAAAAAAAAAAACTAGTTCTCTCATATTATTCTTTGAGCTCCAACTAGGAAAAATTACTGAAAACAGCCAGATGTTACAACTGTTTTGAGCAGGGAAGTCACACCGTGCAGGAGGACTCCATGGTAGAAACTGTTTAAAAAAGGTTCTTTTTACTTGAAATTACACAAGAAAGCAGAAAATGACATTGCAAAAAGGAAAAAAAGTATAGGCAGGAACATTGTTAACAGAAGCCAGGTGACAATGAGAAGTAAAGAGTAGAAAGCAAGCAACACTTTTGACCATTGAGAATGAGGAAAGTGGAAATTGAATGGCTCATGGATAAAAATAGTCACCCACATGTTAATAACATATGTGTTCTGCAGAGTCAGACTTCTGCATACACAGAGAGCATCTCTACTGCATGCATGAATTGTGTGTGAGTTTGCTGATAATGAAGAGAGACAAGCTGCTGCATCAACTAATATACTCTGGGAGTGAAGAGCAGGATAAAAAAAAACTGTAGAGACCACTACTCTAGGTCATTTAAGTATTTTAAGGAGAGAAAAATAACATAATAGAAGAAAGTAATAATTATCTGTAATGGTGGGATGGGTGGCTTCTGACACAGCTCTCATGTTTCTGATTCCACCTCCCGGTATCTTGTGTTATCTCCCCTTCTGGAGTATGAGCTAGACCTGGTGCCTTGCTGCTAAGAGACAGAATTCAACAAAAGTAATGCAGCGTTCCTTCCTTCGTTAGGTAACAAGGAACTATGTCTTGCCTCTTGCTCACCACCCCCAACTCTTGCTGGCATTCCCTCTTGCCCTCTCGCTTGCTTGCTTTGATAAAGGGAGTTGCCATGTTGTATGATGCTTTCTGGAGAGGCCCATGTGACAAGGAACCAACGGAGTCTATAGCACAACACCTGGCTTAAAACTAAAGCCAACAACTGTGTGAGTGAATTTGGAAATAAATAATTCCCTGTCTAGCCTTAAGATGACTTCAGACTTTTAAAAGAGTGAGAGTCAGAGGCCACAGCTAATCCACATCTGGATTCCCACCAACAAAAATTGAAACAATAAATGTGTGTTTTAAAATGCTAAGTTTGGGGGTGATATATTACATATAAATAAATAATAAAGATGGTTTGGCATGGAGATAATGACAGAAAAGAATTAGACTATTTTAATAGTCCAATGAAGAGGTATGAAAGATCTGAATTTCAGTTGAAGCAACGTGAATGATGTAAAAGATAAATGTGAGATTCTATAAGATTTTATAGGATCTACCAATATCGGGAGTAGGAGGAGGACAGAGATGGGAGAGAGAAAGGGAGGGGGAAAGAGAAAAGGAGAGGGAAAAGAGGTAAATGAACAAGATGTTTAGTTCAAGTCAGTGGGAAAATCATTGGTAGAGTTGTATTATTTAAGCATTGATTTAACAATTACTTTCTGAGCATCTGTGATGTGTAAGACACTATGTTATCTGTACTAGACACTGAGATGAACCCTCAAAATGGTGATGCCCTCAAAATGGTATAGTGCAAAGTAGTATCATGTGAAAATTTATCTAATGTAGAAATTCATCCAATTAGCATTTGAGGAAAGATATATGTGAGTTGAGTTGGACTTTGGATAGTAACATGTAAAGATTAGCATTAGAAAGGAAACATTTGTTTTTTGGTTTTTTTTTTTTTTTTTTTTTTTTTTTTTTTTTTTTTTTTTTTTTTTTTGAGATGAGTCTCACTTTGTTGCCCCGGCTGGAGTGCAGTGGCACAATCTTAGCTCACTGCAACCTCCACCTCCTGGGTTGGAGTGATTCTCCTGCCTCAGCCTCCTGAGTAGCTGGGATTATAGGCACGTGCCACCACACCCAGCTAATTTTTGTATTTTTAGTAGAGACAGGGTTTTGCCGTGTTGGTCAGGCTGGTCTTGAACTCCTGACCTTGCGATCCACCCGCCTTGGACTCCCAAAGTGCTGGGATTACAGGCATGAGCCACCGCACCTGGCCAAAATATTTCATCAGAAATATAAAGTCAATAGTTTATTTTCACTAGATTGCAGGTGTATGAAAAAGACAACTGGAAAATTTCTATCAATTCTCAGCCTAAATTTAACATCTTATTCTTTAGTGATATCACAGTACAAGTAAATAGATGTCTTGCACATAGGACAAATTATTTAAGTTTGTTGAAGTAGTGAGATGATTGATTTTATTTTTAAGTAATAAGTAATGTGGGAAAATCTGCAATCAGTAAGATTTATGTGGATCCAGGCTCAACAAACTGCTGCTGATGGGCCGAATCTAGTCTGCAGCTTATACGTGTAAACAAAGTTTTATTGGGACACAGCCATGCTCATTCATTATGTAATGTCTATGGCTTTGACAGAGACTGTGCTACCTGCAAAGCCAAAAATATTTACTATCTGGCCCTGGACAGGAAATGTTTGTCAATCTCTGGTCTCCATCATAAAATGGATTTGAGTAGAGAGAAAAAAACTCATTAAAACATGTAGGGTGTTAGGTCCTTAAACCAGTAGGATACTAACAATAGAAATGGAAAGGAAAAGTTGGAGTGTGTGTGTGTGTGTGTATGTATGCATGTGTGTGCATTTGTGTGTATGTGATAACTGCTTAAATGCAGGGTACAATATAGAAGAGGAGGCAGTCGTGCTTAGATGGCTCTGAATTGACAGTTTCCTCCATCAATATTTAAGTGCAATTTTGGAGGAATATGCTTTTCCACTCAACCCTTAAGTCAAGTGGTTTAATCAGCTGGTCATATTTTTTTTTCCTAATGGTTAGAAAGGATAAACTACTCAGAAGGAAAAGTAGTATTGATTGAGAAAGAATTATAATGGAAGGGGGGGTGATTGCATACTTCTAGGAAAGTTTGAGGAAACAGCGAAAAACCAGTGTGTTACTGAACACTTGGATGAAAGCGTGAATGAAAGCAGGTGAGAGCAGCCTTAAAAGGAAGCTAGTTTGAACCAAAAGTAAACACTGTTTTTCATAGTGCCTCATATATATATGTGTATATATATATGTGTGTATATATGTATATATGTGTATATATATGTGTATGTGTATATATATATATCAAAAGATGCTGATACTTAATGTATAAATTAGAATATTAGCTTTTTTAAAGTATGAATTGAACTTATACAGGGTAAAAAAAAAATCCAATGATTTAAAATAATCAGGTTCCTTTTGTTGTTTAAATTCCCTACTGATAGAACTAAATAGGGTTCCCCTAAACAGGGTTCAAGGAGTAGAAACATACATAATGGTACTCAGGATTCAATCGATTAAATATTAATATTCCTTGAATTAGCAGAGCAGAACTAAGCATCCGAACACCAGATACAGGTCTGGAATAGCAGATACATCTAAGTAGGTTTCAGCTGTCTAAGGGCACATGCCTAGTACAGGGACATGAACAAAATGCTGGGTAAACAGGGATAAAAGCTCTATGAGGGATGTTTAACATTGAAATGTATAAAGTTTTTATTTAACCACGAAGTTTTCTATATTGGCTAAGATTTTATAATGATAATGAATTATTCATGTGAAAATTAACTTTTTTTTGTATTTTCAAAGAAAAAAGCACAAATACACCCATAGAACAGTGTGAAATACTATCTTTCACAATGTACACCAGGCCAGGAAATTATTGGGTTGATTTGAGTCAACAAAATTTCACTTTGCGATGAAATAAGACAATCCTGGAGGGACCAGGGTTTCCATTTGCCTGGGCTCCTTCTGATGGCATCTTTACTCTCCAGGTGAAGGGATGTTTCTGAGATCAATCTTCCTCTCCTTTGATATTTACCTTCTTTTAAAACCTACTGAATATTGACTTACTCAGCTTTTCCCTATTCTTCGGGTTTCCTCTGGGTCCTTTGATAATAGATGCTGGTATCCCTGTCTGTCATTCACTCCTATATGGTTCTCAGGGTTTGTTGTTCCTCCCTCTGCTAACCTGAGCCCTACAGGCCAAAGTAAATTACTCTCCCAGCACCTTTTATAGAGAGTGGTTCATAGTAGTTTTCCTGACACTTTCACCAGTGACACCTATGTTATTACACATTTCTCTCCAAGAACATCTCTAAAGCCTTTATGATTTACACATTTGAGTTACCTTAGACCAACTGACCAAAACACAAGATATGCTGTCACATTTTAAGCTGCTTCCTCAGAATATGTTGGTTGAAATCTACTGCCTTTCCCTTGTCCTGGGTTTCTAAAGACCTGTAGGGTAGTTTCTCAATAACATATCTTAATAATATCTCAGAATGATTGTTATACCAACAAGACATTTTTACTTCATTACTCTGTCAGAGAACTCGGTCTCATTAGCAAAACCTGTTTAGAACAGCCATCTTAAATCCTTGTTGGACCAATTGCAGGCATGCTTTTAATTTAAGAAGTAATCCTGGCCGGGTGTGGTGGCTTATGCCTGTAATCCCAGCACTTTGGGAAGCAGAAGCAGCTGGATCACAAGGTCAGGAGATCGAGACTATCCTGGCCAACATGGTGAAACCCCATCTCTACTAAAAATACAAAAATTAGCTGTGCGTGGTGGTGTGCACCTGCAGTCCCAGCTATTCAGGAGGCTGAGGCAGAAGAATTGCTTGAACTTGGGAGGCAGAGGTTGCAGTGAGCCAACATTGTGCCACTGCACTCCAGCCTGGGTGACAGAGTGAGACTCCATTTCAAAATAAAAATAAAAGTAAAATAAAATCTTCAAGAATACCAAAGCAACTGGGAGCCAAACTCATTGCAAGGGAGAGAGCCTGCCTCAAAAACATGGCCAACCCCCTTGTTCAACACATTTCTAAGATTTTGAAGCTGAATAGGGTGAAATGCTAAAGGCCTAAGCTCAATACCCCTGAAATTTAATCTCCAACAGAATTTTGAGACTAATGAGATTAAATCTGAGACTAATTTTGAGACTAATGACTAATGAAGTAGTTCCAGCAAGCTCTCAATCAAAACCTCAAAAGGATCATACTTCAGAAACAGAGATAAGCCAAAGATGGCAGAGTCTTACTGAAACTAAACCTCAATCCTGACTACTTCAATCTCTGATTGTATTGATAATGACTTTCTCCCAACCCTATCTTCTCATTAGAGAAAAGTGGGAATACATTCTAAAACTAACATTATCAGAATACTTCATTATTCTTTTATATAGTGTCCAGCATGATACGAAAAATGTCTAGATATGTGAAGTGGCAACAATTTTATTAACAATCAACAAAACACATGTGCACAATAAGCACAGCTCCACAGATTCACAGTTCAGAATTAAGCGGACAAATTTAGAATAACCATTGCTAATATAATAAAAGTAGACAAACTGGATGAAATGGAGATTGTAGCAAAGATTTAAATCTATAAAAAATCATAGACATTCTAAAACAGAAATACAATAATTGAACTTATGTCACTGAATAGGTTTGCTTTTGAATAAGTGTGGTAAAACAACCTGAAAAGAGATTCATAGAAATAATGTAAATTGATCTGTAGAAATAATCTCAACTGATGAGATTGAATAAAGCAGAACAAAACAAGAAAGACATGAGGCACAGTCAAAACATCTACTATAACTGAATTGGACATAAAGACAAGTGAGAGAGAATAGAGAATAAGCAATATCAGAAGAGCCGTTGGTCAAAAATTTTGTAAAATTGATAAAGAATATTAACCTACTTGCAAGAAAGTTAACAAAACCTAAGGAACATAATACAAATAAAACCTTACCTGACTAGATTATAAGCTGCTGAACTAAAACAAAAGCCTCAAAAGTAAGTAAAAGAGCACAGATAAGTATTCCAAGAAAAACTCTGGAAGCTGGAGACAATGAAATGGCATTTTAACATGCTGAGGGGCAAATTTGCCAGTCTAAAATTTAATAACCAGTGAAAAACACAAAAGTGAGACACAGTAAAATATATTTAGACAAGTAATTGTTGAGAGAATGTTTGCCTAGGAGACCCGAACTACAGAAATACTAAGGAAAGTTCTTCGGACTAAGAAAAAATTATCCCAGCTAGAAGCATGCAATTAGAGGAAGCAATGATGTTAACTGAAAAAAAAAAAAAGTCTTAAAATATTGGCACAAGAAGTTCTAAAAATCTGAGTAAGTTCTGTATCTGTTATAGAAACTATATGATTAACACATTTTACAAACACACACACACACAATTCCAACCACATGTGGATTAGCTGGTGAATTCTTACCAAAACTTAAGGAACTAATTGGACTAGGCTTACACAAGCATTTTCAGGAAATAATACAAAAGAAAGAACACTTAATTTTTTGTGGGAAGCCAGTAATCATTGACACAAAAATCTGAAAGATGTTGTAAGAAAAGTAATTTATAAGGAATATTCGCCATGCAAATAAACATGAGAAGTAAGGATAAATATAATTAACTTGTCTTTTAGAAAGTTTAAATGTTGTATAAAATATATGACAACAAAGAGTGGGAGTAGCCAAATAGTGTTTAACTGTCCTAAGGTCCTTATATTGTTGGAGAAGTGGAAAAAGTGCTAATTAAGGTAGTCCACAATAGTCTAGAATAAATAATGGATTATGTAGATAAAGTACTGAAAAGGAATTACAAGTATTTTAATAAGATGAAAAATAAATAATTATTCTAAAAATGGCAAAAAATAAGAAAAAGATAGTAAAAAAACAGAAACAGAAGATTAAATCCAGAATTAATAAAGAACTCTTAAAAATCAATTTGAAAAATTCAGAAAATCTATTTTTTAATGGACTAATGACTTGAATAGGCACTTTATTAGCAGATATTTAAAAACCTAAAAGCCTAAGAAAATCATTAATTGCTCAGAAATGCAAATTAAAACGGCCTTAAACACCACTATATACCCACTAAATACCCAAAATTAAAATGACCGATAATATCAAGGGTTTCAGAAGGTGTGGAATAACTACCACTCTTATAGACTGTTATGTGAATGTAAATCTGAAAAACCATATTGAAAATTTGTTTGGCGATATCTACTAAAGTTAAATGTATATGTACCTTTTGACCCAGCAATTCCACTCCTGGATGTATATATTCAAGATCATTGAGTACTTCAGTCTATGTCAGTCTATCAAAAGATATGTATAAGATATTCAATTAGCGTTATTTATAGTAGCCCAAAATTAGAAACAGGTGAATCATCTAATAACACAGTTATATATTTATAAAATGGAATACCCCTATTAAAATTATAAAGTATGAACTATAGGTATATATAAGAATCTCATAAATGTTTAAAACCTAATGTTGAATAAAATCAGTCATATGCAGGAGCATGTATACTGCATGATACTATTTTTATGAAGCTCATTAATAGCCTATTAACATTATTAATGGAATGAATCTATGTAAACAGAGGTCAGTATAGGAGTTACCTTTTTTTGGGTTGTGGTTATTGACTGAGATGGCAAGAAGGTTTATGGGGTATTTCTAAGATGATTTTTTTTATCTAAGTTTTTCCATGTATATGAACCTATGTGAAAATTCAATAAGGAGTATACTTAAGATCTGTATACTCTGTTACGTGTAAATTATATATTAATATTTAAAAGAAGAAAAATAAGTAGATTAATAAAGCACATTTTGCCTATCTATGACCCACCATTATACACTTAAGTATATACCCAACAGATATAACTGGGAATTTTTTACACCAAAAGACTTTTATTACAATATTATTTTTATATCCATACACTCAAAACAGTTCAATTGTCCACCAAGGGCAGAATGTAAACATATTTTATTGGATCATTGATATAATAGAATAAAATACAGCAATTAAAGAACCGTTGCTACATCTGTGATGTCACAAATATGCTTGTATTCATATAAATTTCCTCAGGAAAAAATGAAGCTATGGTAGAGGAAGTCAAAAGAGTGTTATATTTGGTGGAAGAAAATTAATGAGGCATAAAAGAGGCTTCTGAGGTGCTCTTGTTTATGATGGTCACATGACTGAGACTATATTGAAAGATTGTGAAAATCGTACATGTATGATTTATGCACTTTTTAGTCTATAACAATGTATTCATTTGTGGGAGCTATTCTCCAGGGTACCACAAACTGGGTTGCTTAAAACACCAAAAATTTATTGTGTCACAGTTTGGGAAGCTTGAAGTCTGAAAACAAGATGTAGTCAAGGTAGTTTCCTCCAGAAGGATATGAGGGAGGCTGTCTGTGTTTCCTGAATCTCTTGCAGGTTCTGGTGGTTTGCTGGAAATCACTGGTATACCTGAGTTTACAGGTGTGTCCGCCCAGTCTCTGACTACACGTGGCATATTCTTTGTGTCTCCGTATAGTCTTCCCTCTGTGCGTATTCCTCTGTGTTCAATTTTCCCCTTTTTATAAGAATACTAGTAATATTGGATTAGGGCCCACCCTAATGATTCCATTTAAACTTGATTACCTCTGTAAAGACCCTATTTCTAAAGTCACATTCTGAAGTATTGGGGGTTAGGACATTAGCATATATTTTGGGGAAAAACATATTTCAACCCATAACATATAATTCAATTTTTAAAATCCCAAAATTAGCCTAAAATGGAATGAAATTGAAATAAATATCACAGAGGCCTGCAATATGGCTTGATTATATAATACCTATTTCTAAAGCAAATGTTACAATGGCTTGAGACATATTAGAATTGAAAATTTTTGAGCTATAAGACACATAAGAAATTTTAAGCTCCTCATTTTTTTTTGGATGAGACATTTATTAGTCTCAACAAGATTGATTTTCTTTTAAGGTCACACATTTAAATAGTTAACAGGAGAAATATTGACCAGAATCGTAGTCAAATACCCACCTACCCCCTTTCCAAGACAACTAAGGTTTCAAATGGCACCCATTTTTCTCAAATTATTTCTAGAATATTTAGCAAAAGAGGCTTTCAATTTGGCATATCTTTGTCTACAATTTTGTAGTTTATGTAAAGAAAGGTAGCTTAAGGGAATTTCATTTTAAAGGTGAGAATCAGAATGACATTTGTGAAGCTATGATGCTGTGCCATCTGGCGTACACGAGGGTGTCGTACTAAATGGGATCAGAATGAGCTCCTTTTGGAAGGAAACCTTTAATAGACTGGGAAACTTTAGGGGAAACTTCCCTTTTTAATAGAGCATTTGAAAATGAATTCTGCATAGCTGGCTAATGAAGGAAATCCAGATTTGTTGCCAAAACCAAGTTTTAAAGGAATTTGCAATCCTTCACAGTTCATTCAAGGAGGCAATGGAAATTTTGATGAAGAAAGTTTTTAAAATCTTTCTTAAAAGGAGCCCTTACTTTGGCATTGTATCATGATTAAAGTCTTCCTCCCTCCCTCTCTCCCTTCTATGCTTTTTGTTTCTTTTCTATCTTTCAATGACATCAGTCTCATGGAGATAAATGGTTAAAAGACAATGATTACAACACACAGAGTTGAGTGACACAAATCTTGTTGTAGTGTTAGAAATACATCAGTACATTGGGGTCATAAAGCGAAAAGGCAAGGGAAAAAAATCTAAGTTAAGAACAGAAAATGCTGATTCCCGCAGTCCATGTAGAAAATACATGTTTTTTTCTGTCCGTGGAGATAACTGAGATTAGTTAGTATTGTCAATTCTGTGCCTTCTGACTGAGCCAGGTGAGGCAAAATTTAGCAGATGAGTTGAGGGACGAAAACTATTACCTTGGCAATATAGACATTAATACTGTCTACATTGCTTACTGGGAAATGCATGCAAAATTAATACACTCTTGGTAGTATGGGTTGGCTTCACTTCTGTAGAGTGTGGTTAATAGAATGCTGATTCAACAGGCAATGTAGAATTGTCTAAAATTCATCTTCAATGAGTTCATGGCATATTTTGGAATTTATTCACTTGTTTGCCTCAGGAACAGTAGCTGTTCAGTTTTGTTCTGTCTTTGATTTTGAAAATTAGGTTACTGTGCTCTGTAGTGTTTGGAAGATGACATGGCATAACCAGGCAAACAGCTAGGCATTTTCTCACAGTGAATTACCAGTGCCCTTACTTGTCATGATACCCACAACAGGCAAAGGCAGTTTCCTGAGGCAATCCAGGCCACGAAGAACTGTACATTTGGGGAAAACATATCTTCAAATATATACGTTAAAATGTAAAAAGTGTTAGTTTGTATTACTTTTGTGGATATTTAAACATTCCCTATGCATATAAAGACCTAGTTAAAGAGATGAAGGCTTTTGGCATGTTCAATAAGCAACTCCTTGATGAGAAACCACACTATAAATATAATAAATAGGACTTAATAAAATTGAAAAATAATGAGATTAGTTACTGTTGAACTATTTTTGCTTAGAATGCCCCTGGATTTCAGTCATAGAAATTCACTTGTACCTGGGTCAGTTACAAGTTCTTATTTGTGATGGTTTCTGTTCCATTGGCAATTACAATTTTGATAAGTTGAATAAAATATCTTTCTAAAAGGGAGTTCTTATATTGGCAATGTATCATGATGAAAGTTTTCTTGCCTCTTTCTCTCCCTCCCACATATACATTTTCGTGTCAGTATATGTATATGTGATTTGTGCCATTCGTGTGTGTGTGGGCAAATGAAAGTGGCATCAAGAAAATCTTACATTTAAAAAAATTGGGGTAGTATAATTCTTATGCATCACATACTGCATAATGTTTGACTATTAAGAAATTTGCGTCACACATCTAATTATTTCATTAAACATGTTAGAGGCAATTAATTTACTTATACCCTCCATTTCCTTTTCCCCCCTCTCTGGTTCTCCTGCTGCAGGGTCATTATACATTGCTTACTCACAAAATGTCCTTGTTTTTTTCCCTTACTCCTGTCATTGATCTTCTGAATCTTTCCAGTGAACTTAACATGGATGTTTTGATAGAAAGCTCTGACATTAACTCTGGAGTTGTTTTGCAAGGCAGGTTGTTTGCTTTTTCACAAATTTTTTTCAGGTCCTTGAAGTGTTTTCATATAGATGTTTCACAAGAGCCATTTCAGAATTGAGAACATTTGGCGTGTACTCTTCCTCTTTTGGTCCCACGATTTTTCTGAGTCCTACTTGAGGTTATGTTTTCTCCCCTGTTTCAATTGTAATATTTCACTTACTCGTTAGTTTTTAGTTTGAACTCTCCTGGGAGGTCTAATGTAGAGTTTGGACAACGACACAAATTCATAATAAACCTACCCAGTCAATTTTGGTATGAGGGCTTAGAAGGTGGAACTGGCCACATTTTGAACCGGAGGTAAGGATCAGGAATGGTAATGGAGAGACATACAGGATTTTCTTATGGGAAAAAGAACAAATAACCTCTGGGCAGTATTAGAGCCAAGAGAGTGATAAGCCTTTTCTAACTTCAATATTCTGTGTACAAATTCACAAGACTTTTATAAATTGCCAGACTGCATTGCATAAACCAAATGCCAACAGAGCAGTGACCTTTCAAATTACTGGCACAACAGGAGCCGAGATCAGAAAGTTCAAACTTTAAAAGCAAACACTGACAAGAAATCCGACAGAAATGACTTCGGTGTCTGGTCAACTTAACATAACATGACACATTGTAAAGCGCGTTCGGCTTTTTAGGTAGAATTGTCTATAAAGGTTTAACTGCTTTAGAAAATATAAATGTGAAGATTTGTGGTATTTGGGTTTATGTACACGGTATTTCTACATTTGAAAGAGACAGTAGAAAAGTTTGGTATAAGATTTGTAAAATATGTTTGTAATCATGCTAATGGAAGAGGTGAGAGTTGGGTGGAGTGGCGTGTAGATGGAAACATAGTTTGGGGATTGGGGAAAGGGAATTATGCTCTAAATAGTGAGTCATGTTATATAAAGTCTGTTTTGTGTCTCAATTGAAATATGTTGTAGAGATAAATTTAAAATAGATCATGATGGATTTTGAATCTGATTTCTAATTTTAAAATATTACGAGCTTTTGTTGCTTTCCTATTTCATACACATTTCCTTATGGGTTTCACTTAGTCTCCATGAAATTGCAGATGCCAATTACCTTTTAACAAAATTAAATTCACATATATTTATAATTGCATGTATATATCCATAATTTTTTATTCTATACATGATATATTATTTAAAGATGGTTTATCAATCACAAAATAAAAAGTATAATTTTTCTATACCTTCAGTTTTCTGGTTTGAATTTTTTCTGGCAACACTAATTTTCACCTACCTATACTCATTATAGTATAAAAGTGTACAAGTGCATATTTTACCATGTTTACATTTGAATGGGTGACTAGAGGTACATCTATGATGACTAATACTTTCTAAACACATATTTACTTCTCATATATCTGTGTAAATGATCGTAAGAGGAAGGGAAAAATGGAGATGTATCATTATGTATACTGTCTTAAAGCATATTCATCTGCTCTCATGTTTGGAGATATTTGAATATGATGAATGTTTCTCTTTCACCACTAACAGGTTGTATGTGTGAGCCAGATCTTATTGCAAGTGTTTGAAAGGCTATAGCAAATATGGGATATTGCCAGACAGTTAGTAAAAAGCAAACTGATTCTATTGAGAAATTAATTCACCAGCTGAAAGAAGTACATTTGCTTAAGAGTCATCAGATATTCTACCCACCAGACTCATCTCCAAGATAGCATCCCTAATGAGCTTCCTAAACCAACTAAACATAAGCAGGAAGCATCAGTCATCAAAACTATTTTTGGCTAATCAGCTGACTGCACAAACTGCATGGCATTGAGGAAAGGAAGCACGTTCCGAAAGTTGTTTTTTTTTTTCATCCTGTCCTCACTTTGTTGGTTTCTCAGTTTTACGGATGCAGTGTCATGCGCAGAACCCTGTAAATGAGCATAGTTCGTTCAAGTATATAAAGTGCTTTCCCATGTATTATTATTCAGTAGAATAAATTGAATTTAACAAGCTTAAGTGATTTGCCTAAAGGCACACAATTAATGTGTGGCTGGAATTCAAAATTGTGTCTTTTCCTCTGTTCTAATTGTTCTATAACTACAGGTGTAGTGATTGACTTTGTACCCACCATGACAGGGAATAAGTTCAAAACTTGAAACACTGTTTATTTTATAATTAGGTAGACGCAAATGACAGAGTCAAGGCAGAGTGGGGAGCCAGTTAATGTTACTCCCATATGGGTTCTCTCCTCCAATACAGGATTGGGGTAGCAGTGTCAGCTCCTACTGGTTATAACGATCTTAATGATAAAGTTAACTAACCATAACTGAATACTCATAATGTGCTAGCATTTTTCATAATGTATCTCAAATAATACTCACAAAACCTTCCAAATAAATATTACCTTTTTGTTGTCTTTGTTTTATTTTGTTTCATTTTGTTTGAGACAGTTTCACTCTGCTGCCCAGGCTTTAGTGCAGTGATGCAATCATGGTTCACTGCATTGTCCACCTCCTGGGCTTAAGCAATCCTCCCACCTCGCCTCCCAAGAAGCTGAGACGGCAGGCATGCCCTACCACTCCCAGCTCCAGATAAATATTCGTATTCCATTTACTAATGCAGAAAATGTGTGGCCCAGAGAAGTAATGTCAAGTTTGTTGGGGTTTTAAGTTTTAAAAAATTATTTTATCAAACCCTAATGTAAACTATGGATTCTGGGTGATGGTGACGTGTCAGTTTAGGTTCACCTATTATAAAAAATGCATCATTCTGGTGCAGGATGTTGACAGTGGGGGAAGCTGTGTGTGTGTTGGGAGTAGGGAGTCTATGGGAACTCTTCTACTTTCCACTCAATTTTGCTGTGAACCTAAAACTACTCTAAAAAATGAAGTTTATTAATCAAGAAAATCATCTTGTATGAATATATGGGACAGCTATTCATGTATGTGGTAAAAATGAGAGATTTGTTAAAGTATGTGGCAGGAGTGTGTCTAATACGATTGATATTCATGTGTCACTTATAAAAACTGGCTTCTTGGCCAGGCGCAGTGGCTCACACCTATAATCCCAGCACTTTGGGATGCCAAGGTGGGCAGATCACTAGGCCAAGAGATCGAAATCATCCTGGCAAAAAATGGTGAAGCCCTGTCTCTACTAAAAATACAAAAATTACCTGGGCGTGGTGGTGTGCACCTGTTGTCCCAGCTACTCGGTAGGCTGACACAGGAGAATTGCTTGAACCCGGGAGGCGGAGGTTGCAGTGAGCCGAGATCACACCGCTGCGCTCCAGGCTGGGTGACAGAGCCAGACTCCATCTCAAAAAAATAAAAAATAAAAAATAAAAAAAAATAAAAATAAAAATAAAAATACTGGCTTCATTATCAATCTGTAGATTCATTTCATTTGTGTATGTTCGCTTAAGGGTGCATATATGGAAACCCTTTGTTGTTATTAAAGGTTTGTTGGGAAGGGCTCCTCTTTGGTGGAAACTATGTCTATTTCTTGAAAGCGATTTAAGAGTAAGATGTGAAATAATAACACTTGCCCCGAGGATGGAGCCAACACAGCACAGAGCATAGGGGAGTTATTTGATGCTGTCTCTGAGGGATTGGAGGAGAGGAATATAAACAGCCTATCCCTTGAGAAAGAATAGGGGAGGACTTCCTTACCTGATATCTCAGATCATGAAGCTACAGTTCTGTCCCTGCTGCAGGGGAAAAAAAAAATAACAGACTTTTTGCAAAAATCCATTTTTGAAAATATTCCTATATTCCAGATTTATAATGAAGCATTTTTGTACATATTAAAAAGGGTAATTAGAACATTTTTCTCTGGTTTATAGTAACTAGGATGGCAACACAAATATATGTTGGAAGTATTTCTTGGTATGATTCTTCAACATTAAATTGTTTTAAAAACTTAGAAGTCTCCAGGTACTCAGGAATAAGGTCATTTTAAATTATTCCTTATTGGCGATAAGAAAAATAATTAAGCAAGACCACAAAACTAAATGTTTACACTGTCTCTCCTGTTTCCTGATTTTCAGGTTATTTTTTATCCCAATTTTATTTTGCTGTATAGTCATATATTTCATTTTTGAAATAAAGTATGTAATCACTTCTTAAGAACCAAGGCTATGCCTTCTCTTTTGATACGGATGTTTATCTTTCAAAATACGTGTTATGGCTGGGCGCAGTGGCTCACGCCTGTAATCCCAGCACTTTGGGAGGCCGAGGCGGGTGGATCATGAGGTCAGGAGATCGAGACCATCCTGGCTAACATGGTGAAACCCCGTGTCTACTAAAAATACAAAAAATTAGCCAGACATGGTGGCATGCGCCTGCAGTCCCAGCTACTTGGGAGGCTTAGGCAGGACAATTGCTTGAACCTGGGAGGCAGAGGTTGCAGTGAGCCAAGACTGCGCCATTGCTTTCCAGCCTGGGTGACAGAGTGAGATTCCGTCTCAAAAAAAAAAAAAAAAAAAGTGTTATATTTAGAATATACTGAATTAATTTCATGGGATGAATAAATGAATCAGTTCATCTGCCAGTCAATAAGTGTAAAACCAAAGTTTTTCTAGAACATCAGGGTCTTTGATGATTTTCAGAGAAGAGAAAACACTATTCCATTAGATATAGAGGGCATTGAAGGCAGGGTAAGCTTAAATTATTTCCAAGTTCAAATAAATAAATCAAAATAGATGTATTTAGCGTCTACAATGTGGTAAGTACTCTAGTCATGATGGAAGGTGATGGAAAGCAGGTTGAATTCTTACCTTTGAGAAATTTATTACTAATCAGAAAGATATGACACGTTCAAGAAAGTGGATTAAGTGCAAGTAAACGATGCAGAGTTAAAATTATCACAGAAATATGTGCGGGATGGAAAAAGAGGTATTTGAGTTTGAATTTGAAAATTAAGTAGATAAAATAAGAAAATGAAAGGGTGTATTCTATGTGAAGGAAAAACAGCAGTTGGAAGTGAGAAGAATGTAAAAGAAGCATAAGCAAAATTCTAGACATAAAGTCATACAATTTCTGGAAGAACAGATTGATGGTTCTGCAGTAGAAGCTGGGTAGCGGGGAGCTGTGTTTAGATACAATTTACAAGCAAAACAAAATAATACATAATATGGAACCTTGACTTCTGGGCCAAATTTGAACTTTTTTCTTGGCGTCATTTCTAAAAGCATGTCAGTGGATGTTCAGTGAGGGAAGAGGGGTAATTTTCTTAGGTACATTTAGAAATTGTGAGACAAATCTCATATAGACAAGATTGCCTCCTGCAAAATTTCTCATGAGGGTTTAGTTCTAGGAAATTAAGAAGCGGCCATGGTATGCATTTCTCAAACATTTTTCCACATTTTATCACTCTTTCTGTGACCCATCTTTTTGGATTGATAACTCTCCTCTAGACACATGTCATGTTGGGAACCAGTGGTTTTGACAGTAAAGAATCACAGAGAGCAGTAAGGCTGAAAAATGACACGGTGAAAGTACTGATTTTAAGAAAATAATATGGTGGTAGTGGGTAGGAGAGACTAATGGCCCCTGTAATGAGGGAGCTGGGAAGATAAACTGTAATGACACACGAATAGTGGAGATGAGCAGTTTTATTTTAAGACAGAAAGTGGTAGAGTTCATCTCACTTCCAGTTGCTGCTTAGAGGTGAACTACAGAGAAAAACAAGGGCTACAGATAAGGACTTGAGTGTAATTTGTATACAAGTCAGAGCTCAATCTGTTAGGATGAATTCCAAGAAAGAGACTAAGAAGTAGGGGATTTATATTATTAATTGAAACACTTCCATGTGGATGTTGGAGGAGGCAAGAGAGAGGAAGTGAGGAGAAAGATAAGCAAACTTTTAAGAAGAAATCAGGATAGTGTAGTTAAAGAAAATTTGAATAAAGATCTTATTGTGAAAAGCCCATTGTTTTTGTTGATTACAAATTTACTGGAAATTTCTGCAAATCAAGTTTTATTACAATATGAGAGTGAAAGTGTACATTGTGGATGTATGATAATTGAAAAGCGAGAAAATGAAAATGATCAGGCAGAGCCTCCATGCAAAGGAAAGGGAGATATTGACCCTACAAGAGGGCTAGGGTAGTACTGGGGACTGAGAATCACGAATCGGGTGGGATCCTGGATATATCTGAATCACGCAATTATATTTCTTGCTCAGAGACTTGGAAATATAGTGAGAGGGGTTATTAAGAGGTAAATAAACTGAAAAGGTTTTTCTGAGAGCTTGTTTCCAAGGGTACCATCTTCTCAGGAAGGTGGTATCTTACAGAAATGATGACCTCTCATTCTGAGAAACATGCTAGAGAATCAAAAGCTTTCAAACACAATTGCCAAGCAGTAAATGTGGCCCATTTGAGGGTTAGAGAGTGTATTCATGTATTCATTTTCTCTTCCTGCATAGCAAATTACTACACATGTAGCAGCTCAAGACAACATCCATTTACTGCTCACTATTCCACAGATGAGAAGTCTGGGTGGGCTCACTGCTCAGGGTCTCACAAGGCTGAAAGCAGGTTGTCAGCCTAGCTTGACTCAGTTTGGGAGCTGAGGGGGAGAATCTGCTCCCAAGCTCGTCTAGGTTGTTGAGAGAACTCAGTTGTAGGAATGAAGACTTCAATTCCTTGCTGGCTGCAAGGCAGGTCACTCTCAGCTCCAAGAGGCCACTAGTGGTACAGTTCCTTGCCATAGGACCTTTGATAGGCCCTATCACATCATCCAAGCTCACACCCTCAAGGGCAGCAGCATGGGCCCCTGCATGCAAGCTCCTCACCCTCACATCTCATGCTTGGAATGTCTAACTTCTGGTGATAGTCAGAGGAAACTTTGGGGGACAGTGGGAGGGATAGCATTAGGAGAAATACCTAATATAAATGACAAGTTGATGGGTGCAGCAAACGAACATGGTACATGTATAGCTATGTATCAAACCTGCACGTTGTGCACATGTACCCTAGAACTTAAAGTATAATTTTTAAAAAAGGGAAAAAAATCATGTGGTTGCATTATTCCAAGCAGATCATCTCCCTTTTTGTAAATTCAAAATCAACTGATTAATGGCATCAGTTACATTGCAAAATTCCTTTTGTCATGTAAGTTGGTAGGCACGACTGACATCATATTCACAGCCCCAGGGGTTAAGGTGGAAAATCTTGGTGTCCATTTTGCTGTTCTCCTTAGCACGAATAGTTAAAATATAGTTTTGTGTAGTTTTATTTCTTAAAAATTTGAGTTCATGTGCCTCAGACATTTCCTAGAATGTCACTGAAGTGATGGAGGAAAAAAATGGAGAAAACAGAATAAATGTTTTTTAAGTCCTCCATTATATTTAACAATAATTACAAATAAATGAATAATTCTGACAATATATCCAATCACTTTCAACCAAAATCAATTTCTTAAAATAGTAAGTTTGGTTTTAAAAATCAATTATCTTTCTGTTTGTGTTTTTGAGTTCATTTACCTGGCTGGATCCTCATAACATATACACTGTTGGTGGTGTTAATGAGAGTCCATCTGTGTTCTTGCCACGATCCCAGTAAAATATTGGAATAATTCTTAGGGAAGTAAAGGGAAAATAAAGTTGATACGGGAAAATGTTGGAAAAGAATGTCGAGGTCAAAAGAAAGCAGCATATCACCAGAGAGTTAGGCTTTTGTTGTACTTGTCTGATAATACTTTGAAAAATTATAAATCATATAATTGCATTTTTAACTAATTCTTTCAATTAATGTGTTCTGGATATTTAAACAATATTGTACTAGAATATATAATAGAATAGATAATAATCAAAATGTATTAATGTTTAATGTGCTGGCATATTAAATATTTGCAAAGTGCTTTGCATATGTTTTTCTCACAATATGAGCAATGGTCCAGGTGTATTATTGTCCCTATTATAGATTTGAGGAAACTGATTTATTCAGTAACTTACTCAATACCCCATGTCTCGTGGTTGGTATATGTCAGAATCCAAGATTCACATCGAAGTATGTTGGACCTCAGAATCCAAGCCCTTTATGATTATACTAAATAGATAACAAATGGGATATTTCACAATAACAAATGATAACTGGTGTTACTTTATTTACCATTCATCATTATTTATCATTTATATAATGGTATAAAATAATACCATTTATCCTTTCCTTTTTAGATTTGACTTTTTATGTGTTTATTTCCTATCTGTGTTTCTTCATTGCTGTACTATCCCTTCCCTTTACAGGGAGTAGTATACACATCAGTATATTAAACACAGTAGAAAAGTTTGTCTAACTTAATATTTGCTGAGTTCACTTGATCTTGAAAGAAGACTTCTTTTTAATTTAATGCCACCTATTGACTTTGTTTGCAAAATGCTGATAAAAATAAGAATTTAAAAATTACTGTCAAATTGTTTTAGTATTTTTGTTAGAAAACTAATGTTTCAGAATTGGTAACCTAAAATTTGTACTGTTTAATTTTAAAAGTTTGTGAATTTCACAATCCAGTTACTTAATCTAAGTGTTTGTAACATGATAAACATATTTATGTTAGATATCCTGAGGCTATTTGACTCTCTGTTCTTCAGTATAAAATGCTGTCTTTGAGTTGTGTGTTTAATTATTGTCTGCTAATTGATAATATTATTTGGAAAGTCACAGAAGTAACAACCCTAAGTCTTTCATAAAGTGCTGTGAAAATTTAAATGACCACTAAGTGGTCAGCAGTTGTACATTTTTTTCATAATATACTAGTACCCTCTAGTGCTCACACTTGGCCATGTGCTCTCCAAAACCACCTTAGAGGGGTAAATGTAACATACTGCATTGGACTATCTTAATCAGGCTTAGTTTTAAGTGAAATATTCTATTTATAACATCACCTTTCTGAAAAGACATTCAGAAATTTCCAATGTTGTTCAAAAGTATTACTGGAACTCCTGTGCTGTAGGGGAAAATGTCTATTCCATCTGTTTTGCTCATTAAAATAAATGAAATACTTGAGAATCAAGAACTGAGAAGTCATTAAATTTCTTAAATGATTTGTAGAAATGGATGTAGGACCTAAGTCTTTTGTCCCAAGGTTCAGTATGTGCCATATGCATTGGACTGTGTATTTGATCCAAGAAAGTTTAAATGAAACTATAAATGTATATGTCTAAAATTCTGGATTTCTTTAGACAGAATCATTTTCTGGAAGAGTCGTACTTCTTCAGAAATACGGAGTGTGGGTTTACAAAACAGCACAAAATTATCAGCCAATATACTACAGAGGGAGTACTAGAATTTGATTTACCATATTTAAACATTATTTGTTCAGAAACAAAGGATCCTCTAGACAAACTGCCATAAGCAAAGAAGGTGTAATTTCATTTGCTTCCCAAAGAATCATCCAAACCATTGCCACAGAACTAATACATAGAGTGTAGCTCTTTATAGGTGTAAGACTTTGCCCGCTATTTATTACTATTTCAGTTGTTTCATTTTTCTTAAAGACTTGACTTGGTGTCTACACCAAAAGAGTGGATCCACATAACAAAATAATTCTAAATAAGTTTTCTGAATAGAATTCTTATGTTATTCAAATTTGCTATTAGTAAAGGCCTTTCTTTATGTACAATTAGTTGTTACAGGGTAGATCACCCAAACCTGACAAGTGGGAACTTCTTCAGCTGGGCAGTGGTGGAGGCATGGTTGAACAAGTCAGTGGGGACTGTGATGATGAAGATGGTTGCGGGGGATCAGGAAGTGGAGAAGTCAAGAGGACACTGAAGATCACAGACTGTAAGTGTATGATTCTAACACCACTTTTTTAAAACAATGATTTTGAAATATAATTAAAGATATTGTTATGGATGTAAAGAAATAATGACAATTCAAAAACAAGCAAGAGGAATTGGAAATGGAAATGAATCTATTTTTGGTTTTTTAGGACATACATTCTTGGTGGTTTTGTTTATTTTTAACTAATGACTTCTAATGAAATGATAGTTTTCTGTGAAAAAAAACTAGTAAACAATCACCAGTTCTGAGAAGGTTTGAAAGTGGAATAACTCTTAAGGCATAATGGATACTAATTGTATATTGATACATAACGTGAAACCAGGATGGGTAAGTACTACGTAATAATCAAATTGTGCAATTAAAAAATTACATCATTATATAAGAAAGTTTTTACTTTATTGCACTTCTATCATAGTCAAATTGCATAGAAATTGGTATATGGTTATTGATCATGAAAACTACTTGGATTTAATGCTTATGAATTTCCCCTTCCAAAAAAAAAAACTCACTAAACATTGATTTTGATTGTATGGATTTGAAACCATTTCAGAACTCATCGCTACCACAAAGGATAGAATTTTCAAATAACAACAAAAAATTACCAAATAGATTTCCCTTCCTGATTATCACATACAAGATAAGGAATATAGGTTCTCCACACTCCATTGTTATCTGCATGCATTTGTTCATATGGGCAAAACAACAAAAGTGACCAACTGAGAAATAATGTAAATGTTGATGTACCTAGAATAGCTGGTTTCAACTATTCATGTAATCTTGATTATACCAAAGGCAGGGGTCACCTTCTGGAAAGGTGCAGTCATATGTAGAGGTTGGTCTGATAGCTTCCCTCAAAACCACACAGAGCTGCTTTGCACCTATTAGACATGCCTTTTGGTGGGAGAAGAATTCATTTACTTTATAATTCTCTCATTGTGAATTAAAAGCACGATAAATGCTTCCAAAATCAATTCCTCATTCCTTCTAAGATCTGGTTTTACAAGCCAAATATATTGGTTTAAAAAATGGAAGCCAAAAGAGGTGCAAAATTAAAAAGGCAGTTAACATAATGAAATGTTTTCTCATTAGACACAGTAATACATTTTATTTAACATGGAAAATAAATAGATGAGAATTGGTGCACTTGAGCAGCCTTTGAACAAAAGGCCACAAAATTCTTAGTGCTAGTTAAATATATTCTATTCTTACAGAATGCGATAAAGATGTGTTCTTATGAGTATTAATATAGCTTATCAGATTGGTTTCTCCTTTTTTTCTTTCTTTGGTTAAGTCAAATATAATTAAAGATATTATTATGGATGTAAGAAAATAAAGACAATGTATTTGGGAATTAGCAAGAGAATTTGGAAATGAAAATGACTGTTTCATTTATTTAGGGCATGTATTCTTAGTGGTTTTGTTTATTTTTGACTAATAACTTTTGATGAAAATTATAGTTTTCTGTGAAAAAAATACTAGTGAATTATCACCAGTTCTGAGAATGATAAAGGTTTTATTTTATTATTTTTTAATTTCCTTAGGTTTTGGGGAAAACAGGTAATGTTTGGTTACATGAGTAAGTTCTTTAGTGGTGATTTGTGAGATTTGGGTACATCCATCATCTGAGCAGTATACATCGTACTCAATTTGTAGTCTTTTTTCTGTCACCCTCCTCCCACTGTTTCCCCCAATCCCCCAAAGTCCATTGTATCATTCTTATGCCTTTGCATCCTCATAGCTTAGGTCCCACTATGAATGAGAAAATACAATGTTTGGTTTCCTGTTCCTGAGTTACTTCACTTGGAATAACGGTCTCCAATTTCATCTAGGTTGCTGTGAATACCATTAGTTCATTCCCTTTATGGCTGAATAGTATTCCATGATATATATATATACCACAGTTTCTTTATCCACTCATTGATTGATGGGCATTTGGGCTGATTCCATATCTTTTCATGAGAATTATAAAGGTTTGAAAGTGGAATAACTCTTAGGGCATAATGGATATAAATTGTATATTGATAAATGACGTGACGTGAAGCCAGGATGAGTAAGTACTACTAAGTCATGAAATTGTGTCATTAAAAAGATACTATGTCATTATATAAGAAAGTTTTTACTTTATTACATTTTTATCATGGTCAAATAGCAAATTATAATTTATGTGAGGTGAAAGAAAATGAAAAAGGGTTTTCACTAGAAACAATTTTTTTTTTACTAAAAGCTAAAATATCTTCCACTGTATTTAGGAATTATAACACTTATCCATCAGGGCAGTATTTAATAATCTTTCATTTTCATCCTATCTGGAGTATTTATTTGTACTATAATTGCATGGCCATCTAAATATTAGTATTTTAGAACATAAAGTTATTACAAAGTAAAGCATTTTTTTGTGTGTGAGTGTGTGTGCATATGTGTGTATAAATAGTATATTTATAGGAAGTTTTTTACTTCATGAAGTTATTTACAAGTTCAAGAACTTGTTATATATTAGTACGTCACTCTTTTTTGTTTGTTTCACAAAGGAGGTAGAGGCAGTGAAGCATATTCAACTACTAATAGTTTTCTTCACAAAACTATACTTGACAAGTTGACAAAAATTTTTACTTCAAAACCTGGGTTTCAATTACTGCTGAAATGGACAGGCATGGTACAAGCAGCTACCCATCAGAATTTGGGCGATTTAAGAGAGATGATTTTTCAGCAACTCCAGGCAAGCATTTTCTGAAAATCCACATCTGCTCTAAGTGGGTTGCCTCTTATGTTTCTACGAGTTTATAGCTGTTGCCTTTCAATTTTTAATAAGTGGTTAGAAAACCACTGCGGGATAGCATGCTGAAGTAAAGAGGGACGAGGAAAGGAGCGAAGTGTAGGTCACATTTCTATTTTTATAAAGCACTCTAGTATTTTGCCCGTTTTGGCCCAGTTTGAATATATTGGTAAAGCAAGTTAAGGCATAGTTTTAGATGGTCTTAATGACTTCAAAATATTGTGATCTAAAAAGTTTAACAAGGTGTCATCTGTGTTAAGAACTTGAAATGCACCACTATTTCTTCATTACGCTTTCATTTATTCTTTGGAAAATATGACATAAATAGCACACAGTTCATTTGTTACCATAAAAAGTCTGACTAAATTTAAAGTTATATATGTGTATATATCTACATATAACTATATATAGTTGTGAGTATTAATACTAATATTGTATCTTTGAAATTTCATGATTCTGCCCTATTTATGCAAATGAAAAAAGTTGGTAAATATTTTGCTAATTATTACTTGAACTGATTTTCTGTGTCTGTTTTTGTTCATGTTTATATCAGATGACAGAGGGGTCTCTATATTTCAATATGCAAAGTTTTACCACCAAAATATTTGCGTACCTTTTAGGTGTCATTTTGTCTTCATCACCAATGTTATCAACTTATTTAACCATCTTACTGCTTTCTAAATAATTTCTATTTGTAATCCCACCTATACATTATAATTAAATGTTAACTAATGTTTCTCAAAGAAAGAAGCCATCTATACTATGTAATTTTCACTCTTAAGTAACTGATTTCAGTAGAATGGCTTAAAAATCCCATTAGGAAAATTTGTCCACATTTTTATTATATGTATTTGGTTCATTTACATAGATATAGATAGTTCACTAGTAACCTGGGGTTGCAGGATTGGAATGGCTTTGAACTTAAAAGTCGCCTCACCCCTTGCCTGACACCTGCCATTCTTTCACAGTAGCTAACTGATGAAGGTTCTAAACACAACTGGAAAAAATAATTCTCTTCTTTTGGCCATGCAGAACGAATCTAATATTAAAATCTATACTTCTTGAAATATCTGACTATACTTCTTAGGTCTCTAAATCTGGATAGCTTCAAATGTTGAAAAGCAGAACTACTAAAAACAACTTGTAGCAAAATTATTCTACATATAATTTTGAAAATTTGTGGTGGCATTGTTTACAATTCTTATGTGATCTTATGATTTAAATCACAATAATTACTTATAAAAAGTAAGTAATACATAATCCATGATCAAATTCATTTTGGCAAGCTGGTTCACAGTGGTAATCGAGGGAAAATGCATCTGATCACAACTAGAACCAGATACCAGACACTTTTAAAAAGTAAGGTGGTTTTCAATCTTTGGATTTATTTTGCTGGGCTTCTCCTCATCATTCCACATTCTAAATATTTGAGGATTCCAGAATTCAGTTCTCAAACCTTTTATCATGTCTATTGACAACTAGCCCTTTTCCCACAGACTCCTTACTGAATCGTAATTATGAAAATAATAAGGTTCCCTGCCTCTGATAGCACTATCCAGTTCATAAAGCATTTCCCAGTGTAATACCTTAGGAGGTAGGAGGTAGGCTTATTGGAACAGAAAGTATCTGACTTAAATATGATTAATTTAGAAATAGTAGGATAATACATTGCAATATTAAATTGCTAGATCTAGAATTTTTGGTTGATTAGAGTAAAATAAATAGAACTATTGTTTGTGTTGTGTTTTGGTTTTCTCACATGGTAACTTTGTATCTGCCTCTAACAAATGTATCCATGTCAGCGTACTAAGAATGACCTAGGAAAGAGAATAGTATATTCTGTGCACAGAGCAAAATGAAAATTACACTTTACTAGCCGCTGAAGAATAAGGGAAGGTGATTTATTTAGTAATGCAAGATTGTAGAGTGAGCAAAAGTTCTTGGCTTCCTCATATTTATTTTCACCATAAATCACCTTCACTTCAAAAGTCTCAGGTAGGTGTGGAAGTTAAGGAGACCTTAAAAAGATGTTACTTTCTTTCCAGAACTAGGAAAACTATGTATTTATTCATATTGCAGATACTATTTTATAAAATGTTATGTAGTCTCATTGATTTTTTTCCTATCAATATGAGTTCAAACACATATGCCTATAAGATTTGAATGCCATTATACTATATGATTATACTTTAAAATATGTTTATTGATTATGCATATTCTTTCTAAAATTAAAGTTTCACCAAATTTAATCAAAATAAAATATATTCAGCTTACTTTGTAAACTGTTGAAAAATAACCCATTAATATTTTTTCAAATATAAGAAAAATTTACTGAAAATAACTATTTTTTCAATAAGGCTTATCATTTATCCATTCATACTAAAAATAATCTTTGGAAGGTTCATTAGATTAAAACCTTTGCAAGACATTGAAAGTAATCTTGAGTAATGATTGCACACTTTGATCTACACTTTACAAGTACCTAATTCTAAAGGTCAGATAAAACCCTGCATGATAAAACCATAGAAAAATTCACAAATAAACACTTGCAAATCCAGTTTAATGTTCAAAATTGTAAATACTTTGAAATTACCATCTAGTGCAGTTTTGGTAGTACTGATGAAAATTATACTAAAGAGAAATGAAATATATGTCTAAGATAAACATAGTTTAATATGTGATCACTATGAATATTTTTCTGATTATACATTTCCATTTTGGTTTCTAAATAATTGATACTCATCCTGACTGCCTGCTATTTTGTTAACAATATTGTATAATGGAATGTAGATACCTAATGAATCATATAAAATCATCTTTCATTCTTTTGAAAAGTTATGTATTAATATATTTAAATAGTAGAATTGAAGTAAAAGGTTTGTCCTTGAATGCCTAAGTGATTATTTTCATTGCATTGGCTTAGACTGATGTTAAATCACTGAGGTGAAGAGGGATGACTTATTAATTAAGGCTTAGAGGAGCCCTCCTAGCTTGCATTTCAGATCACTCAGCTGTTCTGTAATATGTCATAACTAAATCTATCCCACGCCAGAGAACATAAAATGAGAAGTTGTGGTCTTTTTTGAACAACACAATGCTAAGTGTAACTATATGATCAATAGAGGAAGTAAAAAAAAAAAAAAATTCAAGCAAATATTATCAGGTAAATTTTCTCATGACTTAGCCAAAGTCATATAGCTATCAACAAAACCAGAAACAAACCCATTCTTATCTAGGTCTATTTTTGATGTCATTTTGTTGTGAATAAACAGAGTGGCTATTGAAATGGCGATATTCTGTCTCGGGATTGATAAAGTGCATCTGGTAGAAAGAAATTAGGTATATCTTCGGGTCTTTAATGACTTCAGTCCCTCTAACTGTGTGGAAGTAGTCATTTTCTTATTATTGAACAGAAAATTGAGAGCTTACTAAGTAGAAATAATTTTTAAAAAGAGTATTTGAGCTGATCCCAGAGCCTCTCAAACTTTCTCATACATATAAATTACCTGGGACTCTGCTTACAAAGTAGAGTATAATACAGGAAATCTGAGGGTGGAGCATTTCTTACCCGCCTACAGATGATGTTACTATTCCTTGGTCCATAGGACCACATTATGAAGAGCAAAAATGTACACTTTTTTATTACAGTCTTTATTTGTATCTCTAAAATACTCTCTATTAAAGCATGATGAAATTTTTTAAAACACCGTATATTAGCATTATAAGAAGGCATCATATGATTAAGGACATTTGGAACTGTAACACTTAGGCCAGTAATGGTGGCTGATTCTGTATGAACTTTGGTATCAGTCTCTGATTATTTTTAGCATGAGGTTTACTTCTTAACACCAAAGTAGAACCACTTCCATCCTTTTGCAGGGCCTGACGCTCTCAGGTTATACTTTCTTTAAGGATACTTCTATTTTGAAATAGTACCTCTGGTATCTCAGCAGAAATGTTTCACATTTATCAACTCTTCCATTTGGTGATGAACACAGAAGAAATACTGTGCACAATCCCCTATATCACATTATATGCCAAGAGAGATCAATCAGAGTTTTATGTGAGCTCAGAGAAAGAAAAGAAACTATCCAAATGGGGAGCTTAAAAAATACTTCATAGAGGAGACAGAGAAAGGGCAATCTGGAAAAGCAACCAATATTTGCCTGCAATATTTATGAGACAGTGGTATTTGAGAGGATGGACTTATAATTTGGTTTCAGCAACTGACAATAGGGATGAGAAGGTTTCCTGGGAGGAGCAAACATCATGAACAGAACAAGGGGTGTGTTTACAGAGGAACAGAATTATTTAAATTACTTGAAAAAAATATTGGAAAGCTAAAAATGTGAATTAAAAATGTTACAATTGATTTTTTGAATACACAAGTGGAGTTTGTATTTAATTTGCTGGGCAAAGAGGAATGATTAAAGCTCTTCTATGTGGTCATTTTGTTTGTGCATTCATTTTTACCAGCAATATAGTGAACTACTTAAGATTAAAAAATACACACAATAAAATTAGTATATCTTGAACAAGTAACTTCTCTCCTACCTTGTACAAGTTCTGTGCCTAGATTTCCTTAAGACCTGAATAAAAGCAGGACTCTTCAAGTGATTTTTTTGTGAAGATTAAGTGGTTTAATCCATAGTCAGCATTCCAAGAGTGTCTACCCAACTCACACCTGTCCATTGAAATAAAAGTATTGGATAAAATATGTAAAAGGTAGTTTTTTAAAAATGCTTCTATAAATTAGTAATAAAGGAATGTTTGATAAAATTGGGCTAACATGGTGAAACCCTGGCTCTACTAAAAAAATACAAAAAATTAGCCGGGTGTCGTGGCGGGCGCCTGTAGCCCCAGCTACTCAGGAGACTGAGGCAGGAGAATGGTGTGAACCCGGGAGGCCGAGCTTGCAGTGAGCCCAGATCGCACCACTGCATTCCAGCCTGGGCGACAGAGTGAGACTCCATCTCAAAAAAAAAAAAAAAAAAATTGGGCAAAGTACAGGCAGAGGCACAGATAGTGGTAGATACAGTTATACACACACATAATTTAAGGAAAATAATATAGTTGTACCTAACCCTCCACCGAGTCCAAGAAATACAACATTTCCATGGCCCTATAGGCCCCTCTCTGAACACATTTCACTGAACAGAGAGTTTGCCTATCCTGACCATAACTTTTATAAAAAATACAGTTTTAACCAACAGTATGTGCATGCTTAAATAATACTTGTTTTTTCTGGTTTTTGAATTTTATATGAATCAAATCATACAGTCTCTCTTGTCTTGTTACTCCTTTTGTTAAACAGTGTGGTTTTGAGGCTTATCCATGCTGATGGATATAGGTGTACTCATTTAATTTCTCTTTTGCTTTCTTTCTTTTTTTTGAGACTGAGTCTCTGTCACCTAGGCTGGAGTGCAGTGGCGCAATCTCAGCTCACTGCAACTTCCGCCTCCTGGGTTCAATTCTCATGCCTCAGCCTCCAGAGTAGCTAGGATTACAGGCATGTGCTACCACACCCAGCTAATTTTTGGGTTTTTTGTACTTTTAGTAGAGACAGGGTTTCACCGTGTTGGCTAGGCTGGTTTCAAACTCCTGACCTCAAGTGATCCACCTGCCTCAGCCTCCCAAAGTGCTGGGATTACAAGCATGAGCCACCATACCCAGCCTTCATTTCCTTTTACCAAAGTATAGTATTCTAATTTATGAATACATAACTCATTTATGTATGTATTTTGTTGATGAATATTGGAGTTGATGTCAATCAGTGGCATTTGGTACGATATGAACAATGTTGTTCTAAACCATCTGGAAAGTATCTCTTGATATACATGTGCAAGAGGATGCAGGATATCTTAGAAGTAGCAGGGCAGTGCCACAAAACAAAAGATTATGTACAGCTCTACTAGGTATGTGAGCCTGCTTTGCAAAGCAATTGTACCAATTCATATTCTCACTAGAAATGATGACAGTTTCTACTGCTCCCCATCTTTGTAGACACTTTTCTTCACGTTCACTGATTTTTCATATTCATCTAAAGGATAGAAGTAAAACAAGTAATTAACTTCTATTTCCCTCATAATTAATTGGATTTCACTTTTTAAACAAGTATATGACAAATTTTTGCTTCCTTATCTGAAATTTCAGAAGAAAGAAATTTAGCCCCTTCCCCAGTATTACTTTGTTTTTGTATTGTTGTAAAGAAGTATCTAAGGCTGGATAATTTATGAAGTAAGGAGGTTCATTTTGGCTCAAGTTTCTGCAGGCTGTGTGAGAAGCCTGGTGCAAACATCTGCTTAGCTCCTGGTGAGGCCTCAGGAGGCTTACAAACTGGTGGGAGACAAAGGGAGTGCCAGTGTATCACATGGAGAGAGAGGATGGGAGCAGGTGCCACATTCTTTTAAACAACCAGATCTCTCATGCATTCAGAGCTAGAATTTACTCATTATCATATGGAGGGCACCAAGCCATTCATGAGGAATCCTTCCCCATGACCCAAACACCTCCCACCAGGCCCCAGCTCCAACACTAGGGATCACATTTCAACATGAGATTCCAACCTCCAAACTATGTCACCCCTTTCTATCAGGTTATTACTTTTTTCTTTGGCAGATACTATCAATACAAAAGTCAATTTCAGTGATCCATTACTTCTTTTGGTTGTGACCTCAGGAAGGGAAGGATAGATTCTTGAATTTTTCTTTATTGAACCAGTTTTCAAGATAATAAATTGATTCCCTCCCTTTCTCAGAAGATGACCAATTCTTTTATATACATTTAAATGTCATCATGAACCCAGTTTTAAAAACATTTGTAATTCTTATTTTTACTGAAGTTCTTACTGTCTCACATTTTGCCAGCTGGTACCTTTTCCATTTGCCTTTGAGTCCTTTGAGATGACCCTTAAAATACTTACTAGTTTCTTTGCCATCTGGTATACTTAGATGTACTAAGCTCAGCTTATCCATTGTCACAAACCTGGAATGAGCCATTTTTACATGAGACTTTATTTGTTTTACTGGGAAATGTCATTTCATGACTGCAATCTGAGCACTAATGATGGCTCTTAGAAGCATAGGTGATAATTAAAATATTTCATAATTTCTCACTTTATTCCACATTAAATATAACACATTATCTGAATAATACTAAAACTGCCCTTACGCATTATGATTACTAAAATTAGCTAAACATTTTTGTATGTATTGTCTATTTTCTCTCCCCATTCTATGGTTATACTAGAGATACAGAGATAGTGTCAGGTCACATATCATATCTGCCACTTAGCTCTTATTTATTGTAACTATATAATGCTCACTATTTGCTTTTATATCAATATCTCTCTAGTGTATTCCTTATAAAGGACTCATGGGGACAATATTTTACGAGTTCTTTTATGGTGATGAGACTTTGTGTCCTTTAGTCTTAAAAATTAATTTTGTTCAATACAAAAATGTTAGTTAGCTCACATGTTCTTTCCTTCCATTTTTTTTCAATAAGCTCTGCATTTTCTGGTAGAATGCATTAGTGGCAAAAATTATAATGATAATCTGTTTTTCTTTCCATTATTAGCCACTTGCTTTTCTCCCCTCAGTGCACAATGATTTGTTTTCTGTTTCTTTAAAGTACAGCAATTTTACTAGAATGTATTTTGTGTTGGTAGCTCTGAGTTGGTATTCCAGTTGCATAGTGTACTTTTTCAATATGTAATTTTAAATATTTTTCTAGGAGGCTTTTATTGAATTATGGTTTTAATAATTTGTTATCTTCTTTTAACTTTCTTCCTCAGGAGCACCTATTTTTCGTTTGTTGAATTTTCTTTATCTTCAGCTTTTTCCTCAACCTTTTTGATCTTCGCTCAAATTCTTTTGGATTGGAAAAATTCACCTCTTTACCTTCTGTTTCTCTTAAGATATTATTAGTGGTGCTTTTTTGCTTTTGCATTTCTGCACATTGTATTTATTTTTGAAGGAATTTACATTCTTCTATTTTTTTGAGATCTCTAACTTCTTTCCTGAAATTTTCTAATTCTAGTTTATTTCTTTGTGTCTTGTATCCCATGCTTACTGCCTTTTAGCTCGCTTTGAAGTGCTATATCTCATTTTAGTCTGTTTTTGAACATCTTGATTGTGTGCTTACTATGTTTGCAGAGATCATAACAGAATATGCAATATTTATGGTGATAAATTTTTGTGAGATTTGATCTCAAAACATTTGTTGCTTATTTTATGTTAATATAAATTCCCTTCATTTTTAGAATAAAGCTTTGTTTCAATAGCTTTTCTAAATCTACTGAGTTTCCTGTTCTGTTCTCGTCATGTAGTGTCAAAAAATATGGTGGCTTGTTTTCTAAAATTTCTGGTCTTTTTCTCTCCCCAGTGATTATTCATATCTTCTCTTCTTAACTTTCTGTTATTCTTATCTCACTATTTTTTTTCCACTTTCAGCAGTTACTCTTGTATGTGGAATCCCCTCATCCTGAATGGTAAGAAAACTTGGCAGATTTTAAGCTTCAAGAGTTCAGCAGGTTTCAGAGACTTTATTTCCTTTAGCCTTATAACAGAGCCCTTGCATCCACCCATTATTAGTGTGGGCATAAATGTTCACAGTTCTCTGCTGTTTTCACATTGATTTTCAATAAATCCTGTGGGTTCTGTTGTTTTCATGGCTTTAACTTGCTGCATTGCTTCCCTCTGTTTCTTCTGCACACATGCTGATAGTGTGTAGATTGACCATTGGTGGTGTGCTCTCTCTCATTTCTGCTTTGAGGTTAATGAGGATGACATTTTGACTGAGTTTTGTTTTATTTAATTGGCAAAAACCATAATTACTTTTGCACCAGTCTAATAAATGGTATCCATGTGATTTTAATTTTGCTATCAAGTTAGTCTTTTCATTTTATGTAAGGATTTCTGAATGTCCCAAAGCTATGTTGCAACCACCACTGCTATCTTACGTGAATTTCCCAATCATTTTCATTTTATAAGTAAATAAAATATAGCATAATAGATGACACCTTGATGCTCTTCCTTTTTGATCCTTTCCCCCTGATTTACATATATATGTGTGTTTATATATTGTAATTATATAGAATTACTATTTTTAATATTAATATTAAACAGCAGTGTTTTTAAAATGTATATGCCTCCAATTTGTCTTTCTGCTGATAAAATAGACTTTATTATAATTGATGTATGAATATACCACAATGTATTATCTATTATTTCCAATTTTAATGAACAATGCTACAAGCAAGCCTCTCTGTGCATGAGTATGTATTCCATTAGGTTGCAAAACTAATCTTCAAAGTGATTATATTAATTCATACTTGCACCAGCACTCCAAGTAGACTATTTTTGGATTTGTACCATAATTTCATATCCTCAGAGTTTTTAATTTTGCTGAATTTTTAAAATGTAAATGGTAAATATCTTTGTGTATATGAAAGAAATTGCAACAGATGGAATGAAATAGGCAAGGAAGATGTTCATTATTCAAGATGATTACAGTAGGGGAAAGAGAGAGAACTCTCCACTGAACCAAAAGATGAGATAGTTTTATGCACCTGGGAGAGCTAGTGAAAAAGTATTTGGCCGGTCTTAGGAGTGAGCTTGGTCAATGTGATTAGGTCATATGTGTTTGCTAATTGGTATTTATGAAAGTTAGGCTGCTTCCCTGACATAGAGACTGGGAGATAGGGGTTCTGTCTTGATGACTACATCTCATAAAGATGGCTCCTTGAAAAAGAGAATCCTGGCTTTTGAAACAGGCAAGAAACTGGAAGATTTAAATCTCAAATGGGAAGAGAAAGAATTTACAATTACAAATGTTCTAAAGTAAGTGCATTAAGAAAAAGAAGTTAGGGGCTTATGTTAGGAAGAAACATGTTTAAAATTTAGTCAACATAAAGGAAATGCAAAAACTGATTCTGGTGAGGTTTATCGTTATTTTTTGTTTAATGACCATTTTGTGTTTCCTCTTTTGTGAATTTATTCCCCTCCCCTTTTCATATTTTATCACTTGGTTGAGTTAAACTATCTCATTATATACCTAACTAGTATTTTCTCAGCATATGAGTTGTGAGAAATCTCACTGTTTCTGGTGTGACTTTTAAAGATGTATCCCAGCTATATACTCATAAATTACAGTCTAGAAAGGGAAATAGGTATATCAGTAAATACATTAAAATGAACTGTAAAAAATACATAAAATTGAGAAATATGAGGAATAAAGAATACATAAATAGTAGAGAATGATCCATTATATGGGGATTTTCTTAAGAATATCATCTTAGAAATTATAGCTGAGCTGGGTTTCAATAGAGGACCAAAGATAATCAGATGGAGAGTGGACTAAAATTCATGACAGACAAAGCATTTACCAAAGTACAGATGTTTCAAGTATCAGTGTTTTCAGGGAAGCTCAATGTTTGCACTCTTCCTGGAGCACCACTTTTGAGGAAGGAATGATAGACGAGGCTGAGAAAGCAGTTGGTGGCCTCTACAATGCAGAAGCCTATATATACAGTTGTCCTATAGAGCCGTTTAGACTTATTCTGAAAAGAATGGATTTATTCAACTGAAAAATCTACAAAGGAAAATTCATACATTCAAAACACAATGCCCAAATAATACAAGAAGTTCCAGTGATGTTTAGATAACAGTTAGCTCTAGGTCTTCATTCAATACGTCTAAAAATAAACCTGTCAACTTTCCTCTCAATTCTTTTCAGTTGTTCCTTTTTTTTTTTCTTCTGACAACACTATGACTCACCATCCTCCAAGACAGAAACTCAGGAGTCATCTTGTGTTCCTCCTCTCCCTTCACGCCCCGCATTTAATAAGACCCATTGCCTTTACTTCTAAATTTCTTTTCTTTCACATCCCCACTGCTACTATCTTAGTTTAATTCCTCAACATCTCTTGCCCAATTGGTCACATTGGTCTCTCTGCTTCTGTATTGTCCATCTCTACACTCTTGGTGAAATACTATTTTAAAACTGTTTTTTGCTGAGATATGGAAACTCCAGCCATCATGTAATCTTTTTAGGCAGAGCGGTCCTCTAAGGAGAGGAGGCTGGTTCGGTATCAAAATTTATGAACTGTTGAACAATAGCTTTTAGTTATTTGCCATTTCAGACAACCAATTTCAATTATTCTGAAGGCACCCAGATGCTTTTGACCAAACTAAACTCTTTCATTTTCTCCCATATCTCAGTGAAATGAGTGTGGTGCTCACATGTTCTATGATTCTGAAGGCACATACTTCAAAACCCAGAAGACTGTTATAGCTACTGTGCTGGTGATTTGCCTATTTTGTCACAGATCTGAGCCTCCTCTTCTGTAAATTGTGCTTACGTAAACTACATTTCCCAACCTCCACCAAATCCCTCAACTCCCTATAAATTACATTTCCCTGATTCTCCTTCCAGGTATTATACTTTTATTTTTTTCTGCCAATGGAAAGTCCTAAAAGGAGATTAAAAGAGGGAGAGGGGAAAGCACTTCGTCTGGTTTCTTTTCTGCTGGCATTACATCAAAGCAGAGAGTCACTCCCCAGCCTCCAGACATGTTTAGCTCTTATATTAGCAGCTAGGATAAACCCGTTGAAGGGAGGTACCAGCTAACTTTACCTCCATCGCTAGTCTGAGCGCCAGCAATTTGGGGCGGGGACTCAGGTATGAGCATCACCTTGGAAGGGCAACATTCCCGTTGTCCATTTGAGAAGCATACTTCTCTTCCAAATCCCTAGATGCTGGTTATCCTATCTCTTCCATTTCTTAAAAACTAGAATTGCTGCTCTATGTAATCACTAATACCAATGTTCTTTTTTTTTTTTTTTTTTTTTTTTTTTGAGACAGAGTGTCGCTCCGTCGCCCAGGCTGGAGTGCAGTGGCGCAATCTCAGTTCACTGCAAGCTCCGCCTCCCGGGTTCACGCCATTCTCCTGCCTCAGCCTCCCGAGTAGCTGGGACTACAGGCGCCCGTCACCACGCCCTGCTAATTTTTTGTATTTTCAGTAGAGACGGGGTTTCACTGTGTTAGCCAGGATAGTCTCGATCTCCTGACCTCGTGATCTGCCCACCTAGGCCTCCCAAAGTGCTGGGATTACAGGAGTGAGCCACCGAGCCCGGTCCCAATGTTCTTTTTTTAATTGAGAGGAGTCTTGCCCTGTCACCCAGGCTGGAGTGCAATGGCCCCATCTCGGTTCACTGCAACCTCTGCCTCCTGGGTTCAAGCAATTCTCCTGCTTCAGCCTCCAGAGTAGCTGAGATTATAGGTGCACACTGCCACACTGGGCTAATTTTTGCATTTTTACTAAATACAAAAGATGAGGTTTCACCACGTTGGTCAGGCTGTTCTCAAACTCCTGACCTCAAGCGATCCACTTGCCTCAGCCTCCCAAAGTGCTGGGATTATAGGCATGAAAGTATCTATGTTCTTTTACATCCTATTTTTGCTTTACTAACTCTTAAAGGTCTATATACCAATTCCGATATTAAATTATATCTAAAATGGTTCCTGTTTTCTTGACTGGACCTATCTGATATAGCTGTTGTTAACTGTGTAAAGTTAAACCAAAACATAATTATCTGAAAACCAGTAAGACCTTCCTTCTAGTCTTCGGGTGCGGGGAGTAAAACTGTTACAATTTTCTATAGGTTTATATTCTACTGTGTAGGATAACATCTGTTTTAGCATTTCCTCCCAAATTCCAGAGGAAGATAATCACATAGAAAATTAGATAAAGTAAGCCATTGAACAGAGAGTAAGGGAAAATAGATGTCTTCTGGGTGAGAAATTTCCTGGAAAATCATCCCTTGAACCATTAAGTCTTTGATGAAATTTGGCATTGAGTCTGGTTCACCCGGGTTGATTTGAAGCTCTGAGTGTCAGTGAGATTACTATATAAAACTATCTCTCTGAAGACTGACTGACTAACTGGGTCTTCCATAGAGCCAACTCTACAGAACAGGGGAAAAGTTGAGGCAAGGCAATTAATTCATAAATGAATAATAAAAAGCAAATGGGACTGACAATAAGAAGACGCAGCATGCCATTGGTTTTTGAACACAAATTCCAAGTCTCTCTCCTTCACTATTACTAATTTCAGGTCATCCTAGACTTGGAATATTTGAATTAACTCTGTAGGATATGGTCAAGCGTCTCTTCAACATCCTGCATACCAACTAGTTTTAATCTTGTAAAGTATGGTTCTATTTCTGCACCCAGCACCAAAACCTTTATTAGTTTCTGTGGCTCGCTCAAAAGTGTTTTTTTTTTTTTTTTATGAGTTGTACTAACCATAATAGTTGTAAAATTGTCTAGGGAAAGTCAGGAAGCATCTTTTTATCTGTCTATATGCCACAGAACTATTCTTGATCATGGAGTATATAACCTGCATCAGAATGACATCGGATTAATCTCTGTGCTTGTTTAAACACAGAGTATAGAGTTCTAGCCAGAAATAGTGAATCAACATTTCCAGTGGTAGATCCCAGAAATGGATATTTAACAAGCATACTAAATAATAACTATTTCCAATAAAGCTTGAGAACAACTGCCTCACAGTCCCTGCCACAGTGCCTCCAAACATGAGGCATTTAATGAATGTGTTCTGAAGTGCAAGAATGCCTGCATGTAATCCACACATCTCTAAGACACATCTTAATTAACATTAAAAACCAGATTTTCTAATGAATTGAAAATATTGACATTAATTTTAGCCAAGAATATTATTCAGAAACAAAAATAATAAGTATGTGTATATTCAAAAGATCAAAACTGAGTTAAAATACAGAGTAAATTTGATAAGTATAGTTTTCTTCAATCATTGGTACTTGTGAATTATATAAATAACTCTTTCACATTTTCACTTAGTGGAGACCTGACTAGAATATTTTGCATTAGTTTAATGTGTAATTTTGCGTGAAAATTAATAATCCGAAAGTAATTATTAAGTGCTAATTGTTAAGCTGAAGTGTAAAGTACTGAATTTAAGAGTATCATTTTCTAGATTAATATACAATGTCTCAATTTTGGAGGAGATACATTAATACAATAGGTATTGCTTGGGGATAGTTTTTATTGATTATGTTTGAGTTCCTTTAATTTCTTTATAACTTTAATGTTTTATGCTAATTTTTAAGAATATAAATAATTATATTTGCCTATTAAGTAATATATAGCCATATATATATATATATATATATATATATATATATATATATGAAACTAAATGTAGTTCTCTGGTTATAAATTTGCAAAATAGTATGGATTTTGTATCATAAGATTTTTTGTCATAATTATTGTTCCATACCTTTATGTTATGAGTATATTCTATGGAATCCTGTTTTTTCCCTGAAGTCTAAACTGCATTATGATGCTCACATAAGAACATTGTACTCATTTAATACAAATTTTGCAATTCAAATTAGAGTCACTTACAGCTTCTTTATAGTTCCAACATCATGGTTATTTTTCGTTTGAAATGCCCCTTATCTCCACATTCATACATCCATTTATTCATCCATCCATTCATTTATTCATTCAACAAATTATTAATTGGTCCTTAATTGGTGCTAGTCACCATACAGATTTCGGCCTCTGGGGGCTAAAGAAGAGTAATCAGGGAAAATTACAATGCAGTGTGAAAGGTTTTATTTGGGAAAAGCAGATCTTGTGGGAACACACAGGAAGGTATCTCAGTCTTAGGGATAACATGAAGGCTTCTCAAAGGAATTAAAACATCATCTGACACCTGAAGAAGCAGTTATTAATAGGGTTATGGATAACCAGGGGAGCAATCACTACAAAAACGTGAAGCAGAAACAGAAACCTAAGAATTAGAGAATGCTGGGGATTCTTGGGATCTACATGAAATTCCAGAATGTTGTTATATACAATGTAGGCTGGGGACTGGCATGAGCCAACTCATGTATTAAAACCTTTCAAATTACAGTGTCAAGAATGTATGTGGTCATAAAAGTTAAGGGCCTATCACAGAAATCCAGACAAATAAGTTGATGACATAAATGACAACTCAATACTTTTTTTCTGTGGTGATTTCTGCACCTCTTGAAATGAACTTGGTCACTCCCTCACCTGCTAACTTTAGCACTTGTGTGTGTGTGTTTATAAAATTATATGTATTATACATAATATATATAATTACACTGAATTTAGCTGATTTTTTCATAGACTATGAGCTTCTAAAAAATCATCCCCATATTCGTCATTACATTCTTGGGATCAAATATACTGCATGAAAAAAGATGCTCAGAAAAGTCTATGTTAAGTTAATGTATGAATATATGAATGAGTGAAGGAAAGTGTTTTGAAACCATCATAGGGAATATAATAAGATAAAATTACACTAGAATAAAATGAAACTGATAAGAATAAATTTGATGGGGCTGGGCATGGTGATTCACGCCTGTAATCCCAGCACTTGAGGAGTCCGAGGTGGGCGGATCACCTGAGGTCAGGAGTTTCAGACTAGCCTGGCCGCATGGTGAAACCCCATCTCTAGTAAAAATACAGACCTCAGCCAGGCATGGTGGTGCATGTCTGTAGTCCCAGCTACTCAGGAGACTGATGCAGGAGAATAGCTTGAACCTGGGAGGTGGAGGTTGCAGTGAGCCGAGATTGCACCACTGCAGTCCTGCCTGAGTAACACAGTGAGATTCCATCTCAAAAAAAAAAAAAAAAAAGATGGAAAGAAATAGGAAAGTCACAACATGTACAGTAAAAATTAATGAGAATTTCTACTGAGTATTCTATTTCCCCAACATGCAGAATATGGAGGCTATTATATAATTATTTGGGTTGATTCTACTTTAGCATCTCTTTGTTATTGAAGAATACTTGTCATCACTAGCTACACCTACTGTTCCTAGATGTAGCTTCAGCAAAACTTGTTCAAGTTCAGTGAAGAACAATGAGAATAGTAAAGACAGTACAAATTTCCTATTTCAAAGATGAAGTTTGTTGATCATAAAATGCAAATTAAAATATGAAAATTGAATTTTGTATTCGTTCTCACACTGCTATGAAGAAATACCCAAGACTGGGTAATTTATAAAGAAAAGAGGTTTAATTGACTCACAGTTCCACATGGCTAGAGAGGCTTCAGGAAACTTACAATCATGGCAGAAGGCACATCTTCACAGGGTGGCAGGAGAGAATGAGAGAAGTACAGAGCAAAGGTGGGAAAAGCCCCTCACAAAACCATCAGATCTCAAGAGAACTCAATCACTATCATGAGAAGAGCACAGGGGAACTGCACCCATGATTCAGTTACCTCCCAAGAGGTCCTTTCCCCAACATGTGGGGATTACAATTCAAGATGAAATTTGGGTAGGGACTCAGACCCAGATCATATCATTCTGCCCCTGGCCCTTCCCAAATCTCATGTCCTCACATTTCAAAACACAAGCATGCCTTTCCAGCAGTCCCCCAACATCTTAGCTCACTCCAGCATTAACCCAAATGTTCAAGTCCAAGGTTTCATATAAGACAAGACAAGTCCCTTCTACCTATGAGCCTGTAAAATCAAAAGCAACATACAGTGGGGGTACAGACATTGGATAAATGTACCCATTCCAAACGGGAGAAATTGGCCAAAATGAAGGGGCTGCAGTTCCCATGCAAATCCAAAATCCAATAGGGCAGTCATTTAATCTTAAAATTCCAAAATGTTCTCCTTTGACTCCATCTCTCACATCCAGGTCACACTGATGCAAGAGGTGGGTTCCCATGGTCTTGGGCAGCTTCATTCCTTCGACTTTGCAGGATACAGGCCCTCCGTCCTGACTGCTTTCACAGGCTGGTGTTGAGTGTCTGTGGCTTTTCCAGGCACACAGTGCAAGCTGTCAGTGGATATACCATTCTGGGGTCTGGAGGATGGTGGCCCTCTTCTCACAGCTCCACTAGATAGTGCCCCAGTGGGGATTTTTTGTGTGGGGACTCTGACCTCACATTTCCCTTCCACAGTGTCCTAGCAGAGGCTCTCCATGAGGGCTCTGCCCCTGCAGCACCTCTGCCTGGACATCCAGGCATTTCTGTACATCCTCTGAAATCTAGACAGAGGTTCCCAAACTTAATTTCTATGCATCCACAGGCTCAACACCATGTAAAAGCCACCAAGGCTTGGGGTTCGCACCCTCTGAAGCAATGGCCTGAGCTGTACGTTGGCCCCTTTTAGCCACAGCTGGGAGACAGGAAACCAAATCCTGAGACTGCACAAAGCGATAAGGCCCTTGGGCCTGGCCCACAAAACCGTCTTTCCCTCCTGATCCTCTAGGCCTGTGATGGGAGGGGCTGCCGTGAAAGTTTCTGACATGCCCTGGAGACATTTTCCCCATTGTCTTGGCAGTTAACATTTGGCTACTCATTACTTGTGCAAATTTCTGCAGTCTGCTTGAATTTCTCCTCAGAAAATGGGTTTTTCTTTTCTATTGGATCATCAGGCTGCAAATTTTCTGAACGTTTATGCTCTACTTCCCTTTTAAAAATAAGTTCCAATTCCAAATCATATCTTTGTAAATGAATAAAACTGAATGCTTTTAAGAGTTTCCGGTACCAATTTATTGTATTAGTTTGTTTTCACACTGCTATGAAAAAATACCTGAGACTGGGTAATTTATGAAGAAAAAAGGTTTAATTGATTCACAGTTCCACATGGCTGGGGAGGCCTCAGAAACTTACAATCATGGCAGAAGGCACTTCTTCACAGGGTGACAGGAGAGAGAATGAGAGATGTGGAGCAAAGGAGGGAAAAGCCCCTCACAAAATGATCAGATCTCCTGAGAACAAACTCACTATCATGAGAACAGCATAGGAGAACCACCCCCGTGATTCCGTCACCTCTCATGAGGCCCCTCCCCTAACACATGGGGATTACAATTTGGATTACAATTCAAAATGAAATTTGGGTGGAGACACAGAGCCAGATCGTATCTAGCTTTTAAATAATCTCAAAAGCTATTTGATAGATTTATTGAATAACAGTCAATTCTAGTATCCAGGCCTGTTCTGGATATATCCATGTATTAACATATGTAATCTTAAAACTCTATATGATAGGTAATATTGCCAATTTTTGGCACAGATGCATTGAATTCTTTGCCCTGGGTTACATTAGTTTCAGTGAGCATGATGCAGAGCCAAGATCCATGGCCAACAAATAGGACTTCAGCCAAGAATAACGTTAGGATTGTCTCTGCAGATTGTGTATAAAAAACTTCACTCTATATTTTAAAATGTTTTGAAATTCTTTTTGTGTATGTGGGCGAAATAGAAAATTGCAGAAGAAACTTACTTAAAGAAATGTATTGTTGGAAAGGGTATTTATAAATATTAGTCTAAATACCTGAACAAGTAATTTAAGAACATTAATGTTCAGTGATATGCTTCATGTACAGCAAAGATTTCCCTGATTATATTTTTGAGAGGACCATCTATGGAACTTTACACTAAAGTAATAGGCTTCATGGAGGAAGTACACTGGAAATACATGAAGTAACAAGACCTCTAATTGCAGTTCTGCTAATGTCCAGGACCTTAACAAGTCTTAGATCTCATTTGCTAGCCCTATAAAATCAAGAAATGCTCACAAAATCCATTTCATTTCTCAAATACTATGTTTCAGGAAAGGGCATATTTTAAAATAATGGTTGTTACTTTGAAAGTATTCTGGGTATAATTGATATTGCTGAAAGCCATTTTTAGTACATAAACCCATCAGATAAAGACCACCGGAGAAACTTCCATTGTCAAAGGTAGTTTCATTAGCCCTAATCTGCTGAATCAAAGGCTACAGTACACCAAGAGAACTGTGAGGTGACTCCATAAGACTGTATTGCCATTGACTGTTTACAGGTTTGTGCTTGTGCTGAATAATTCCAAAGAGGAACTTGAAAAGAGAATAGAATACCCTTGATGAGTGATCTTATGAGGGAAGGGCTGTTTAACACTTGAGTATCACAGTCTTCTTTCTTCAGGAGTTGAGAAGACTGAATAATGGTGGGAACTTATTGGAAAGAAAGCAATACTCATTTGTGTGATCTTAGTGTATCACATTAGAAATAATAGCTTTGGTTCTGTTGGGAATATTGCAGTCTGATCTGTATCCAAAATAAGGCATAAGTCTCAGTCTCTCTCTCTCTCTCTCTCTCTCTCTCTCTCTCTCACACACACACACACACACACACACACACACACACACACATATACACACGCCCTATCCTGAACAGTTAAATTTCCTTCTCAAATGAGTAATGGAATTCGTTTGTAGGGAATGGAATGTAAATAAGGATTTTACATTTTTTTCATAGTTAAGTATGTGCTTTGTTTTATACAAAAAGTCTTACATCTAAGACCCTAAAATATTGATTATTCTATCAGAGAAGTGAAAATTAATTGTAGAAGCAGCACTGAGGAGTGTTAACAACTCATTGTAATCCTGTAGGCTATAGCAAGTTATAGTCCATGATCAATATTTACAACGCTTAAGTATTCACCATTTTCAGGGCATTGATGTATAGTGAGAATTCTTTTATAAAAACAAATTGTATATGGTTTTTAATGTTGGGAAGGAATAAGCTCAGTTTGCAAATGATATAAAACTTCAGATTCCACAGGGTTTTAAAATGAAATGAGTAAAAGCAATGCAAATGATTGAAGCTGTAAAAAATAGACTTGAGGAAGAGAAAGAGATCTAGAAAATAGAACAGAAGTAACAATGTATGAAGAGATATTATACAAATGATGTTTTCTGTTTTCTCTTTTGAGTAAAATAAATGGTTTTAAAAGAAACAACAGGAATTGAGACTAAAAACAATGAAAAAGAAATTGTGATTTTAAAGTTTCTGAAATACAGAAATAGATTTAGGGAGTAGCTTTCAGCATGTTAAAGACTAAGCTAGACTCCTGATAACCCATAAACACAAAAGCTTCCAGATCCCACTCTACTGGTCTGAATCATGTGGATTACCAGAATGCAAGCCTTTCAGAAAAGGTCATCTGTTGTTTAACAAATGGACTTTGTAGCTCAATTTAATTTTACTCATTTTAGTTCAGTATCAGTTTTCAACTTAGGACCAAGAAAAAAAAAAAAAGATAGTTTTTAATCTCAAACTGGAAGGCCTGTAAGTAGAAGTGACACATCGTTAGATCCAACGAGGAGGTCCAAACCTTGGGTGATGACATGACCTTCCATAACTGAGGGCAAGCTTACTGGGATAGCTGTCACCAGGTGAGGGTCAAAACTGATTTCAACTGACTTGCATCTCAACGTTGACTATCTTTTCTTCTCTCCAATCATGGCCCTGATAAAAAGCCACAGAGTCCTAACACTGGGTTTCTAGATGGAGGAGTCTGTCTACTTGGCCCTTCCTTATACCTTATACAAAAATTAACTGAAGATGGATTAAAGACATAAATGTAAAACCCAAAACTATAAAAACCCTAGAAGAAAATCTAGGCAATACCTTTCAGGACATAGGCACTGGCAAAGATTTCATATTGAAAACATCAAAAGCAATTGCAACAAAAGCAAAAATTGGCAAATGGGATTTAGTTAAACTATAGAGCTTCCGCACAGCAAAAGAAACTCTCATCAGAGTGAACAGGCAGCCTACAGAATGGGAGACAATTGTTGCCATCTATCTATCTGACAAAGTTCGAATGTCCAAAATCTATAAGAAACTTAAATTTACAAGAAAAAAGCAAACAGTGCCATTAAAAAGTGGGCAAAGGACATGAACAGATACTTCTTGAAAGACATTTATGTAATCAACAAACATATGAAAAAAAGCTCGACATCAGTGATCATTAGAGAAATCCAAATCAAAACCACAACGAGATACCATCTCACACCAGTCAGAATGGTGATTATTAAAAAGTCAAGAAACAACAGATGCTGGCAAGGCTGTGTGGAAATAGAAATGCTTTTACACTGTTGGTGGCAAGGTAAATTAGTTCAACCATTGTGGAAGACAGTGTGGCAGTTCCTCAGAGACCTAGAGCCAGAAATACCATTTGGCCCAGTAATCTCATTACTAGGTATATACTAAAAGGAATATAAATCATTCTATTATAAAGATACATGCATGCATATGTTCATTGCAGCACTATTCACAATAGCAAAGACATAGAATCAACCCACCCCAACAGTTATAGACCGGATAAAGAAAATGTGGTACATATACACTATGGAATACTTCGCAGCCATAAAAAGGAACAAGATCATGTCCTTAGCAGGGATATGGATGGAGCTGGAAGCCATTATCCTCAGCAAACTAACTCAGGAACAGAGAACCAAACACTGCATGTTCTCGCTTCTAAGTGGGAGCTCAACAATGAGAATACGTGGACAAAGGAAGGGGAACAACATACACTGGAGCCTGTCAGGGGTGGGGTGGCGGGAAGGGAGAGCATTGGGAAAAAATAGCTAATGCATGCTGGGCTTAATACGTAGGTGATGGGTTGATAGGTGCAGCAAACCACCATGGCACATGTTTACCTATGTAACCAACCTGCACATCCTGTACATGTATCCTGGAACTTAAAAAAGAATTTGCAATCTAACCTTTAAAACCATCGTTAAATATATTTGAGGTTTAAAAATTCACGTTTCCCATGATACAAAAATGCATCAGAACATTGTTTTTCTCAGAACATTGTTCATTTTGTCTTAGTCTACCTTTTATTTCAAAGACAGTGTTATAATTACTAAAATATGACAAGACAAATCATTGAAATAGAATACTGGCACTTTGAAGATGGACTTGGATACTACAAATCTTTACATATAAAATAAACTTTGAATTTCTTACCTTTTATTCAATATTAGCTTTTTAAAAATAAACTTTATATGATAACAAGGAAAATTAAAACGTACAATCCAGTGTCTATGGGTATTTTTTCCAGAAGGTAGTTATAAAAAAGACAGAGAAGAGTCATCTAGTAACAGCTGTAAAGTAAAGGCAAAAAATTATTTTATAATTTGAGACAGCATAGGTGTTCTTAGTGAGAAAATTAAAAAACCTGTCCTTACTAATACATTGAGTTTATTTATTTTATTTAGGCTGTGAACATTTGGAACTATGTTACTTGGTGTGTGTTGTTCAGCATTTTAGAAAGTTTCCTTACAAACTTGGTTGAAGATATTTTCTTAATTTAAAATATTATTTTTATATATCTATCACATTCTTATAATCAATAGCATAAAATATTACAATGGAATAAACAGGAGAAATTTTACAAATAAGATTTCCACTTATAAGAATATTTCTAGGAAAATGTTTGAAATATCAGTGGCATGCTAAATTTGCAATTTGATAAAACTAACATATTGAAAGAATATATTTGCTTCAAAATACATGGAGAACTTTAAAAAAAACCTTAAGATTTTCTTCAATGAGGGTTACTCTAGTTTCTATGTTTATATTTATAATTTTGTATAGAAAGTCTTTTGTTTTGAATTTCTGATGTCCTACACAATCCATGCATAAGATTCTTTAATTGATATTGCTGTATATTTTAAAATATTATCAAGGATTTATTTTCTGATGATGCTAATTACATTTTTTTCTAAGATAGGACTTCCTATACCCACAAAGCAAGTTTTTCTTTTTTTGTCTTTTCTTTGCTTTTTTTTTTTTTTTTTTTTTTTGAGACAGAGTCTCACTCTTTCACCCAGGCTGGAGTGTAGTGGTGTGATCTTGGCTCACTGGAACCTCCACCTCCCAGGTTCAGGTGATTCTCCTGCCTCAGCCTCCTGAGTGGCTGGGATTCTAGGCCACTCAGCCACGCCCAGCTAATTTTTGTATTTTTAGTAGAAACGGGGTTTCACCATGTTGGCCAGGCTGGTTTTGAACTCGTGACCTCAGGTGATCCGCCTGCCTCAACCTCCCAAAGTGCTGGGATTACAGGCGTAAGCCACCATGCCCAGCTAAAGCAAGATTTTCTATTATAGACTATTTAACTACCAACTTTCCCAAAACTTCGCATGTTCACAGTTTCTACTAGAAACTGTTGTTTTTTAAATTCAGAGTCAGCAACATTTGCTGAAGAATTGTTTTTCTCCATTTTCCTTGGAAGTAGAATGAGAAAAAATGGAATACACATGGAGTAGGAGACACAATAGTAGAGTTGTCAAAGTATAAAATTTATGAAATATTTTAAGATTATGGGACTTAATATTAAGTCCCCCAGTCAGTTATCCTTCATGTACTGTGTAGAAGCTGCTACACACCTACTCTATTCTTCTTAAATATTTTATCAAGACACTTCTCTCTAACTACCTTACTATCATATGGAAATTTCCTCAACTTTGTTCCACAAGATATTCATATCTGCCTCCATTCCTGCTCACCCCCTTCCTCTTTTCCTTTTGCTGGGTAATAGCAGTGCCCTACCTCCTGTCAAGGACCACTTTTTTGTTCTATGTACCAGACCCAGTTGCATCCTCAGAGACTTTGCTTTATAAATTGTCCATTTTTGCCTCTGTATCTTCAAACTCTTCCTGCAATAAATTATGCCCTTTTAGAAAACATGTTGATTATCTCAGTCTTCTCTTTTTGAAAAGTCAATAAATATACTACACACACACACCCCTATATTCACCTTCCTAAATGTATAATCTCCTCCACTGACTTTTACTACTTTATCCTATCACAGCCACACACTTCCTGAAATAGTTGTATACATTCTGAAATTACTGTTCTTGATATTCTTTTGCTCCTCAATCCATTTCCCCTTCTCAACTAAAAATGGTGTTGCCAGAGTCAGCCTGTAGTCACACCTCAATTTTGTATTAGTTGTTCATTTTCCACAATTGACAATGTCAATCTTCAGTTTCTTGAATTATGTTTTTCCTTGACCCATCCCTTTCATTTAGTTATTCATTGGGAATCCTATTAGGTCCTTTCACTTCTCACTCTGTATTTTTCCTGAGTGATAGAAGAATCCTGTTTAATGCATAGGTAATTGAGACCTGTATGTCTCTAACCCAAATGTTTCTTCTGAAACTCACACACATATATTCATTTGCCACATCCATAACTGAGCTCTTCATGCCTGCTACCCTCATCCTGAAACCTGCTTCCTATCTTAATGACTGTTACCATCATTCAGTCAATTTCCCAAGAGAGCTTCCTTGTACTACCAACTTGGGATTTCCATTCACACATGCTCCCAAAGCCTACCATTGCCGTAGAACCCATTAACCAGATTTTAAATGCCAGTTCGCTTGTTTGTACCTACAATAGATTGTTAGTTCTGTGTATTTCTAGTTAAAATGTAGTATTGCCAGCTCTAAGAAGCATAATAGTATTTAAAACATTCCTAAATGAATAAAAGAATGAACAGATGGGTAGATGGATCAATGGATGGTTGAATGGGTGGATGGATGAGAAGGAGAGTACTTGTGTGTTTATAAAATTGAGAGTGTATTTGGAAGAACAGAATTTCCAGTTTGGAGTAGTGGGGTCAAGTTGGGTTGTGCAGTTGACCCTAAGGTACATGAAAAAGATGATCCTAAATGAGATCATAGAAATCACAGCCATTTAAGGATCATTATGGTATGAGTGCCAAAATGAAATGTTTTAAAGGATTGGTAAAACCACGGGATGACTCAAAGTATTAAAAATAGCAAATGAAACATAACCTTTTATATTGACTCTTAGATGAAACTTTAAATTCAGTTTTGAGGGATCTGAGAAGAAGAATCAATTTTGAAAGAGTTCTAGAGAGTAAAATAAAGTGGTAAAAAAGAAGGGAGGATATCTCAGTGTATTGGAAAATTTTCAAGTGCTCATAGTCACAATACATTTTATGTCTCCCCTGTTCATCTACTGCTTCTTTCATTTAACTTATGTGTCACCTTGAAAATATTTTCAGAGAAAGAGCCATTTATAAAAGGAGAGTTCTTCTCATTACTTAAAAGAGATACTCTCCTATATGTTGTTTGAAAAGGTTTACTCACTGCTACTTTATTTCCATTGAAACTGGAAATGTGCAACATGATATCTGAAACTATTTTTTCCAATTTCAGCAGTTTAATGCTGTTATTAAACAATCTAAAGCAATTAAGATCCATTCCTGTCCTTTTTATTTAAAAAGAAAGCTCTTATAGTTCTAGGGTTTTTTTAATTAAAAAATTTAGGCAATTATTTTAATTTGACTATACCTGTTAACAATATAAGAAACGTTGCAACAGTCAAACGAGCAACTCTTAAGTCTTATTACATGTTATCTGTATCACCACCAAAGCTTTTTTTGGTTAAAGTAATTTTTGCTTATAGATTCAATCAATCTGTAAGACCAGTCCAAAGGGGAAATCCTTTGTTGTCTATATGCTGTGATCAATGAACTGAGTGTGAGTGCAACTAAACTCCCATTTGACTCAGTCATTAATGGATTTTTTTTTCAAAGTGGGATTACCCACATTAAAAACAGAGATCGGCCATTCTCACCTAGGTCATTAAATTTGTTTTCCTGGCCACCTTTCATTTAGCCTGATGCTTTTCCGCTTAGGTGTGTCGATTCTGGGTTTTTAGGAAATGAAGTCCTTCATGTTGACTGTGGTATGTGAAGACCCTGATATCTCTGCTGCTCTGACCCCATTAAACTTTCAGATTTTACTGCCATATTGCTTTTGTACATGTGCTTTTGTTTCATGTACCTCATGTGCCATGAGGACACTCAGTGGGGAGTCTGGCACCTGCCTGGACAAACCCTTTCCTTTTGTTCTTCCTCTTAATGAAATACTTTCTATCAAAATTACTTATTCAAATTTTGCTAATTTTTTAGGAGTTGGTTTAATAAAGTGTTCTTTAGTACCTCTAACAGAAAACCATTTCTTTCATTAAAATGCAATGAGCAAAAACCTAGTGTCACTTGTGTGCCACGTCTCACATTCTATAGTATATAATAATTATTTATATGAACACTCATCTCCCCTTACTAAGACCCTTGATGTAATCAATATACTTTTATTATTATGAGCCAACAAATATTTGCAGAATGTGGAAGGCAATATTAAGACATCTAGGCCAGGCTTGGTAGCACACACCTAATTCCCAGCACTTTGGGAAGCCGAGGAAGGTGGATCACTTGAGGTCAGGAGTTTGAGACAAGCCTGGCCAACGTGGTGAAACCCCATGTCTACTAAAAATACAAAAATTAGTTGGGTGTGGTGGCACCCACCTGTAGTCCCAGCTACTGAGGAAGTTGAGGTGGGAGGATCACTTGAGTCCAGGAGACAGAGGTTTCAGTGAGCCAAGGTGAAACCACTGCACTCTAGCCTGGGTGACTGAGTGAGAGACCCCGTCAAAAAGAAAGGAAAAGAAAAGACATCTTTGGATATTCTTAGGCTTGCTGATAAAAGTCATCTTTACGTCATTAAAAAAATATGTGTCTATGTATATTTATTTCATGTATATATTAAATAGAAAGGCCAAAATTTGGGCCGGGTGTGGTGGCTCACACCTGTGATTCCAGCGCTTTGGGAGGCCGAGACAGGTGGATCACGAGGTCAGGAAATTGAGACCATCCTGGCTAACACGGTGAAACCCTGTCTCTACTAAAAACACAAAAAAAAAAACAAAAAAAAATGGCCGGGTGTGGTGGCGGGCATCTGTATTCCCAGCTACTCGGGAGGCTGAGGCAGGAGAACCGCGTGAACCCGGGAGGCGGGGCTTGCAGTGCGCAGAGATCGCACCACTGCATTCCAGCCTAGGCGACAGAGCGAGATTCCAACTCAAAGAAAAAAAAAAAACAAAAACAACAACAACAACAAAAAAAACAAAATTTAAATAACTCATTACTTCATTCATACATTTATCCACCTATACACTTCTTTACTTAAAAACAGCAAAAAGTATTAATCACTTTATTGAGCACCTTGCTGGGCATCAGGAATAAAAAACAGATTAGTCAAAAATACGGTTCTATTCCTCAAGGTTAAAATAGTGTGCAGAAGAAAAAACAAATAGCGATGTCATAGAATTTAAAATGTTATCGTAAAGTGCAGAGTACCATTAAAATAACACACTGTGAGACTTCGAAAAGTCCTCCCTTGAACCTTCATTTTTGAGACAGAGTTTCGCTCTTATAGCCCAGGCTGGAGTGCAGTGGCCCCTTCTCAGCTCATCGCAACCTCTGCCTTCTGGGTTCAAGCGATTCTCCTGTCTCAGCCTCCCGAGTAGCTGGGGTTACAGGGATGCGCCACCACGTCCTGCTAAATTTTTTTGTAGTTTTAGTAGAGACGGGGTTTCTCCATGTTGGTCAGGCTGTTCTCAAACTCCCGACCTCAGGTGATCAACCCGCCTTGGCCACCCAAAGTGCTGGGATTACAGGCGTGAGCCACTGTGCCTGGCCGAACTTTGATTTTTTCATTAGAATTTCTGGAAACATTATTTTATTATATGTTGGCATATTAGTGAAACATATATTTATTAACCTGTTTTCAGATTTAATGGTGACCCTGTATGTTTGTTTCTGTTTATCGATATCTAGCTATAGTTATGTTTACATCTATACCATATTTTGTATCTATACATATATAAAAGCATCTAAATAGGGCTTGACACCTAATTGGAATTCAATAAGTGTTTGCTTCTTTTCTGATTCTAGATTATGTCAAAATTTAGTAGTGCGTTCTAATAAAGTTGAAGAACATTTGAATAGGAGGTTATGATGACATCACTGTGATGCCTACTGCTGTAGTCCAGCTATCTAAGAGCTGAATTGCTTTCAGTTTTATCTGCGGTTCTAAAGTTGGTGGGCGCCCCTTTGGAAACGTTTACTGAACTCTTGGTACAGAGGCCACTAGATGGGGCTTGTGGGCTTAGTACTTTATAGTTTAGAAAAGTCACTTAAAAAAACTCAGACTTCTCTTTAACCTATTCTGTTCTTTATTAACTGTAACACTGTGAGCAATTATAATTAGAAATCTTTTTATATTAGCAAGTGTGAAACCTAACTATTGCCCTTGCAAATATGTGATATTCCTCAAAGAAAAAAAAAACATCTCCCTACAGCCAGGCACATTTATCTCTTTAGAGGCTAAATACAAGACCCCGTTACCAATTTAATAGTAGTTTTCAAACCTGTCTCCTCATATAGAAGAATCTCAGATACAGAATCCTGGAAGCTCTGTTCCTACTTTTTAGGTTTCAGATTCAATGGTGACTCTGTATGTTTGTTTCCATTTATCTATATCTAGCCAGAAACATGCTTTACCATTATCATGAAGTTTGCTCCTTACCCATTGCTAGTGTTTGTTTTCCTCTAAGACAGTGGTTCTCAAATTTTAATGTGCATCAGAATCACCATATATCGTGAAGGACTTTAGAAAATACAAATTACTGTCCACAACCCCAGAATTTCTAATTCAGTAAGTCTAGGATGGAGCCGGTGACTCTGAATTACCAAAAAATGCTCAGATGATGATGGCACTGCTTATCCAGAGACTACACCTTAAGGAGTTCTGTTGTATGCTAAGGCTCTCCCTGGATAAAGTACATACCTTTCATGAGGTAGCCCTTGTGTCTCAAGACAGCTTCCTGTCACACTGCAACATTCATCTCTCCAGGCACTGAGACTGGGACAAGGACGAGAAGTAAGTGGTGGTTTGTGTTTTCTTTGCATTTATGCTCCTAACCACTGGGTACACAGCACACTAAGTTAGATAAGGTTCAACCTCAACAACAGACCAGGGGCACCTGTCTGCATCTTCTAACAACCAATAGCTAATGCTCATTTGAAAAAAAATAAATGAAGGGTTTGACCCAAGGCATCAAAGCTTTGGATTCTGATTTTCCTTTGTCTCAATGGCTTTTAGATTTCTAAGACCTCCCTTTCCGTTTCTCTCCATCTGACCTCCAACCTTCCCCAGATTCCTAATCCCACCATTTTTGAACCTCCCTCCAGAGTGCCTGGAGCTAGGCCCAGTGGTTCCTCACCTCAACGGCCACATCCAAGCACTTCTCAGCCCCTAGTTTACTGATTTCCAGCACACTACCAGGCACCACTTTACCTTTACTGGAGACCTAGGTATACACTGCTTCTTTACATACTGTATCTACAGCTGGATAATTCAATTCTCCATCTATTTATCCCTTCATCAGTCATTAACTACCAATGATATAACAGGCACTGCTTCACCCTGCCACTATGCTATAGTTGTAAACAAGCCAGACATGACCTCCCATCTTTTGCTATTTCCGTCATTGTTTTGACTGATCTATCTTTTTGGATTTTGGATACCCTTATTTCCATCATTGTTTTGATTGATCTGCCTTTTTGGATTTTGGATACCCGTTGTTGTCACCAGCTTGTTGTTTTGCATCTCAGTTAACTTCTTGGCTTACAGACCCCTGGCTTCTGAAAACCACAAGCTTTCTGGCTTTTACACGGCATCTCAACTTGTATCAGAACATGTTGTTTTCTAGCCCCTTAAGCCAGTCTAGCCTCTGGCAACCTGAGCATCTTCCCCTTGTCTGACTTTCATCATATCTGCTGGGCTTCTGCATCTTCACTGTTAATGTAATGACAATGCCTTAAATTATGTGGATTATATTTTCAAAGGTGTGTTAGCGTATCCCATCTCACTTTCCTTATTTCAAATGATTAACCTATCTTGATGGAAAGTTGATCTTTCCAATGATTTCAAATATGTACCTTCATATAATTTTTATATTTTTATAATTATACAAATTACTTACATCTCAACCTTATAAAGCTCTTTTTTGCTCTTTTATATTCTAATAACAGAATAGCCACTAGTATGTTTTTTGTGTTCTTCAGAATAACCTAGATCAGATATGCACAGTCTCTGATTAAAATGATTTCTTGCATCCCAGAAGCTTCTGTATTATGTCAGCAAAATTGTGTTTATTTCACAGGCTCTGTCTGATAAATATTTTTTGTGGTCTTCATGTGACAACACTGAATAACATGCCTAAACTCAGCCTCCTCTTTTAAACATTCCTACCTTGAGAAGACTAGTGACAGAATAGCATCCACAGTACTATTTAGTTTAAATTAATTACAACAAAGCTCAACGAAAATTGGCTTCGATATACCATTATTTTTCTATTTTCTTTCAGTTCAGGCATTATATATAATTAAAGATGCCCCAGTATTCTACTTGCAGAAGTCATTTGCTAATGAAGGGGAAGATTACTGGGAATAGCATAAAAAGTTCAAACCACCAATAAACATTTCTGGAAGCTTGGAGCTGAAAGACTGAAACTATTCTGGCACATGGAAGTTTTACCAAGCTCTTAACCTAATTATATTCCTGATACGAGTTAGGCTCAATTTATTCCGAAGGGATGCCGCAAAGGGAAGCTTATCATGAATACTAAGGGTAATAGAAACAATTGCTTCAGTGAGCCTAGTACTGTCACAGCAGGCGCATCAGAACAGATGGCTCTGCGTTTATTCCAGTCTAGGGATTCAAATTGGCAGTAGTCAAACAAAAATCCTGAAAAGCATGTCAGCAGATGTGGATATGAGTTTTCTTTATTTAAAGAGCCATTCATACCATTCCACTGAAAATGCATATAAAACTGGAGGTATTTGCCACTTTGGTTAATTTGCCTATTAGTGCCTTCAACTTGTGGCCCATCATTTTAATATATATATTTATATATAACATATATACATATATACCAGCAGTATAGTAATTTCTGATATATACTATTAACCTCAAGTTACTATATATATACTATTATTAAATTTTTGTATAGTGTTTGTATATTATATATTTATATGCCAGCTCCTTAAAATGTGTTAATATTATATATCAACAGTTGCTAATTCCTTACATTAATATATGCTATTTTGCATCTTTTGAGTCCAAACTGCTACCAGCATAGGAATTTTAACATTTTCTTTAAAAATAAACTAGTTTAGCCTGGGCACGGTGGCTCACACCTGTAATCCCAGCACTTTGGGAAGCCAAGGTGGGCAGATCACAAGGTCAGGAGATCAAGACCATCCTGGTTAACATGGTGAAACCCCGTCTCTACTAAAAATACAAAAAATTAGCCAGGTGTGGTGGCCCTGTAGTCCCAGCTACTCAGGAGGCTGAAGCAGGAGAATCGCTTGAACCCAGGAGGTGGAGGTTGCAGTGAGCCAAGATTGCACCTCTGTACTCCAGACTGGGTGACAGAGCGGGACCCTGTCTCAAAAAATAAATGAATAAATAAATAAACTAGTTTATTGTATTTTTAATAAAGTATCCTAACGTAGACTATTAGGATTCTTCATGACACCTGAAATGTATTGTCATCAAATGACTACACTTGTTCATTAGCATCTTTTTCTCCTTGCACAATGAGTAATTAATAGTTTCTTTGGGAGTTAAGTAAAAACGAACTGACATTTTTGGGCCAAGAATCCTAAATTAGCTCTGGGGTAAAACAAAAACTCTTACATACTCCTCACCACCTAAAAAAATTTTCAATTAAAAGGAAAAAAATAAAGGATAATATCCTGGTTTATAATCTTGTCAAACTGGAACTATTTCCAGATGAGCATGGCCCTCTTTTTCTTTTACAGATGACACAGCTAAGTGCAGATGCCTAAAAGGAAGGGTTTCTGATGACTTTGTTTTCTCAAGATATTTACATAGTCTGAGCTTACTCATGAATTGTGTTACCATGTTAGGTTCAACAGCTAGGCTCTGACTGAACTAATTTGTCGTGGTCTCTCTGTCCACAAGAGTTTGTCAAAGTAACAACTCACTATGCTATTGAACTAATAACTTGGTCACAGTGTATCTTTTAACACCTAGAATTCTCTCATCAATGAGTAGGCATAGCACTTGCTCATAATCTTCGTAGGCTACTTCTAGCTAAATGATAGATTACTTATACTATAATGTTATATTGCCGAATCTAACATACAAGAAAAATATTCAGGGCCTAGTGGCTTTTTTCAGTTTCATTATATGCTTTTAAAACTTTGATGATTTATATGATCATAGAACTTTCTGTTCTGGCACATGGGAAGATTGAATTTTTTAAAGCAAAGTATTTGTACAGATTAAACAGATAACATTTGACATCATAAAAGGATAATGAAAACGTATAGGTGAATTAACTGAACTTTAGATGGGGAAAGATATCAGCCTAAATTTAAACAAAATTTTATGAATATGATTTACTACGGTTTTTACTGTGGACAAACAATGTAGACTATGGACTTCGGTTTGAGTCACAAGACAGGCACAATGGATTCCACTAATCTCTCAGTTGTGGTGGAATAAACTACTATAACAAATATGCTCAAATGTTTATTTTTTAGCATTCAAGGCAGGTCTTCTTAATTGGCAGTTTTTCTCCATGTGGTGGTCCAGGATACCCAGCTTATGCATGAAAACTGCAGGTTTGGTTGAAAAGTCCCCACAGTTAACCTGATTTATACCACAGGGCTAAATTCCTTTTGTTTAAGGCTGCAGTTTAAATTAGCTTTTTAATTTCATTTCCAATTGTTGGGTTTCTGCACAAGAAATTCCATAATCTTTAAAGCTGCATTTTAACAAATGGGAAAATAATATCCAATAAAACAAAAGAAAATTGGAAATAAGATATCACAACAACAATTTAAGCTGGATTTTCTCTTTGTGAATGTGTATGTATTTGTGGAAATAAAGAGCAGAAGTAAATTCTCCAAATGTCAACAGTGGTCACCTTTAAGTATTATGGTTATGGGTGATTTTTTTTATTAGTACAAACACATTTATTCATTAACCAAAGGGATGATCCTAATTAATCCAACACTTTGAAATAGCTGCATGTAAAATGTTTGTGATAAAGATCACTGAACACAGTAATGAAAAGAAAAAAAGCAGCCGTATGGAGATTTTCTCATTCAACTGAGCTTGTTCATTCTCCTAGCTAATTCCTATCCAAAGTGATGATGGAATTTTTATTCTACTTTTTCATAGCTACAAGTACAGCTGACACTGTTCATGACACCGTTCACCACTAATTTCCCATCTTTCAATTTTCTTGTTAATTTTCTTTCCTTCCCATCCCAATCCTGATGCTGAACCTCTGCACCAGCTGTAAAATGGTTACAGGTGATTTTCATTGTCCTATCACTACTTTCTAATTGTCTACAGTGAGTAGATAGTGCTTTTAAATGAGAAAAAGGTGCGTGTAAAATACACCTTCAGCTACTAAAATTGTATATGAATTGTCTTATTAAACTTATCACCTTTCTACACACCAGTTGCCAAAACAAACAAACAAACAAACAAAAATCAATTAATCCCCACTTGCCAAGCCTGCCTGGTTGTGAGCTACTACTCTTTCCTGATAGTCCACAATAGCTATAGCCAGCCTGGTTGTGGGCTACTTCTCTTTCCTGATAGTCCACAATAGCTAGTCTTTAAAGTTTTCTTCAATAAGTCCTGACTAGAAGGAGAAAAAAAAATTAAAACTACTCACATGATATCATGGAGATGAGCTCAGACAAGAAGATCCACAACATATAATTTCTTGCTACTAAATTAAAGTAAACCCAAACAAGGTACTATCACTTTTAATTTATTCTCAGAATGTAGTTTGTGTTTGGGGAAAATCTGACTAATGAATGAATAAAATCAAGCAAACAAAAAATAAATAAAATTTCCCTCTTGGTATGCTAGATAATTAATGCTTTGAATACATGAATCATTGCTATATATCATGCTAAGTGCTATGTAATGTTTTAAAAATCTTCAGATAGTACAATTTTGCTGGGGTGATATTGTTAAGTTTTAATATTTTAAATGTGCACATGTGGATTGTGTAAATGATAATGTGTATTATTAGGATTTAAAGTTAGAAGATTTTTTAAAGTAAAGCCCTAAAAGCAACTGAACAAAGAAAGCAAAACAGATACATAACCTACTAGAAATGAGAGCTCAGATTTCCTGACATCTCAGTTTGATGTTTGTGTATTGTATCCCATTGTTTCTCTAAAATGGGAAATCATGCAATGAAAATGCAGAAGAAAGCAAAATGGTGAAAAAGAGTTTGAGGTGGGCCTTATCCAGTCAATGGATTAAATTAAAATGGAAAGATGCTGTCCTACATTATGCAATTGTAATAAGAACTTGAACAGAAGATTTAAAGGATAGATAATAAGGAGGCTCAATGTTGAGTAGGTTTGCATTGGGAATCAAGTGGCAGAAAAAAAGATGTCAGGGTAAGTTTATGTTTGTTAAAGATGAGAGTATTGAGAGCTGGGTTGGGAAACTAGAACTTTTCCTTCAATAAAATAGCCATTCATTTAACATTTCAAATTTTTTCTGTTTATTTATTTATTTTTTTTGCCAGGGAATTAATAATCCAAAAGAACAGAGAAATTCAGAGCTAATGGTTTCGGATTATATTATTTGATTAATTTGGAAAGAGGTTTACCTCCCTGATTATTCCTCCCTTACAGCTATATTTTAACAATTCTATCCAAATTTTGAAGGCATTGAAAAATGTCACCCAGAAGCTAGCTGCCCACATCTGGCCAAACAGAAAAACTGACTTTATCAGTAAAAAACGATCTGTGACTTCAAAAACAATGTTCAAAATATAATCCACTTTTCAAACAAAGATCAAGTAACCCCACTTTTAAACTGATAACTCAATGTTTTGTTAATGTGAATTGAATTACAAAATTCAAAATGTTAATATTTCTTTATTAAGACATCTGATGGGTATAATGAGTCAATTTAAGTAGATACAAAATGTAAAATTGTTATGCCAAAGTTCTATTTAGTAATTTTTCAAAAATTTATTCATAAACCATATTTTGGTGAGTTTCAGTGTTAAGAAAATTCCGATCGCCATAAGTATGGGAGGCCGAGGTGGGCAGATCATGAGGTCAGGAGATCGAGACCATCCTGGCTAACACGGTGAAACACCGTCTCTACTACAAATACAAAAAAAAATTAGCCGGGCGCGGTGGTGGGCGCCTGCAGTCCCAGCTTCTAGGGAGGCTGAGGCGGGAGAATGGCGTGAACCCGGCAGGCAGAGCTTGCAGTGAGCCGAGATCGTGCCACTGCACTCCAGCCTGGGCAACAGAGCGAGACTCCGTCTCAAAAAAAGAAAAAAAAAAAAAAGTAAACATTTTAACACCTACCCTTGATACATCAAGGACGTTGAAACAAAGGTGGCAGAAGAAACTATAGTCTCAGTTTACTGGGTATTCCAGAAGAGGTTCATAACGTGGCTCTAATGTGTTAATGTTTGTTTTATGATATATACTAGTATGTACTTTGTTTTTATTCCAGTTTTAATAGAGGTAAAGTTGGTTTATTGAACAGGGTGGAACTGGTAGTGTAAGCAGATAGCAACCTTATTCTTTCCCACCATTCCCCATTACATGTTTTCCCACATAGCCTTTCAAGACATATTTAGATAATAAACAGTATTTTATTTTTGCATTAAAATTCTAGTTCAGTATAATAACCAAGAATGCCTGGCCAGTGTGGTAATAAGCTCTTACGAAGTATAAGCTTTTTCCTCTGTCAACATGAGCTTGACCCAACCATGGAAGGCTGAGGTTGGGATAGGTGGGTGAGGTCAGCTGCTTTTTTTCTTTTTTTTATGTAGATACATATGGTAGCAGCACCATTTATTAATCCACTATTTTCTTTCATACTTACAGTGTTGCATTTATTATATATCCAGTCCTGCATAAGTGTGTCATTCATTAACCATTTAACCATGTACCAATTCAATCCTGATTTAATTACTAAAATGTTTTAAAATAACAATTAAAATATAGTTAGCAATTTTGAGTCACTTATATATAAATTTTAAGATTAAAAACCCTTGGAAAAACTGCTAGAATTTTTATTTTGGTTGCAATAAATGTATAGATTAGTTAAGGAATCATACCATATTTATAATAGTAATTCTGTCAAATGTAAATATGGTATATTTCTCAACTTAGGTCTAATTTTGTGGTTTTTAAATCAAGTTTTATGATGCTTTTTATGAATTTTAGGTGCATATTTTGGTGAGATTTGTTCATAGATCTCTTACAACTTTAGTCAATAAGATTGTCATCTTTTTAAATAACATGATGCATTCTGGGTAATCTCTTAATAAATATCATTTAGTTTACCAATTTTCTCTTTGATCTTATCTAATAGGGTATTTTAATCCAACCACTGATACTATTAATTTAAATTATATCATATTTTTAAAAAAGTTATTGAAGTGTCATCTTAATTATTATAATTTTATATTGTCTGCTAGATTACCATATAATTATCTCAAATTCATATGGCTCTAATCCTGCCCTTTATTTTATGTGCTGTCTTTTGCTTATGGTGTATTATTTATACTGCAAATTCATCTTTGGTTTGGCTTTTTCTTTTTTCTTTTGAGGAGGCTTCCAGTATGAGATACCATATAATGATCATGTTAGCTTGTTCTAAAACTCCATAAGAAATCTCTCATTAATTATATATACACAGAGTATAAATTTGAATATCAAACTGCTCTAGTTGAAGACCTAACCTCCTTCAAAATCTATTTTAAAAATCTTCTCCAGAGTCAGGAGAGCACACAAAAAAATTTATTTCTATTACTAGAGTTCTTTAGAACTTTAGCCATTGGATATATCTTTGAATAGGCAGCTCTCTGAGGGTCTCAGCTTTAGGGAGTAGCCCCCTCTCCCTTCCCCACTTCCTACTTCTCCTGAGGCCCAAGCTTTTAGCTTCTGTCTTTGTGTCAAAATTGTCTCCTTAAATAACTAAGAGCAACCTTCCAATCATCTCTTCACTACCTAGGAATCCCCAGTGAAAGATTAAACATTGGTTGTTCTGGATTTAATTCTGTTAGGAAACCTGAAGATACTTTTTTGTTGAAAATTTAGCTATGCCTTTAAAATATTTTTTGTTTTATTTTAATTCAGCCTATCTAAGTGTGTGTAATGAGAGAAAGTTTAGATCACCTTAGTCTACCATATTATATGAGTGTATCATTTTTAAGGTATCTACTCATTCTGAAACTCTATATCTTTATTCTTTTTCTGGTAATTAATATGAAACTGCATACATAATTAAGGTATTCAAAGACCACCAAAACTAAACAAAGAAATTTACAAAGCCATGTCTAGTAATGTGCCAGGGTTGGGCAAACACACAACAGTGAAGAAATTCACTAAGTAATTTGCTGAAAAGGTAAAAACAACAGGATTTTTAAATGCTAGAAAGGAGAATTTCATGTCAATTTTGCAAATTAAGTAAGTACTGGACAGTAGCACCTGCAATAGGACAGAATGAGCCCATAGGTTTGTACACAGTTAGATGCACTGAGTCCCATTGTTTATTGTTCAAGAATCAGTCTTCAGCTTGCTCCAGTAAAAGTCTGATGTGCCAGGGTCATTCAATATCCTGGGACCTTTATCAGCTTCAGTTAGTCAGAACTAGTGGCATAACACACAGTTTTTTATTCTGTTTTCTCCTTAGCAAGTCTGTGGGAATTCTTCCTTTTAAGTTAGTAATTTGTATAAAAGTGAAAATACAATAATTTTGATCTTCATGCTAGTATGGACATAGATATCACTTACCTGATCTCCAGCTCAAAATATTAATATGAATTCTCTTAAACTTACTAAGATGTAGTTTCTTGAGTTATGATCCACTATGGGCAATGCCTCAGTTCTCCAGAGAAGTAAACTAACTGATTATTTTACTCTCATTAAAGTCATACTTTAGAGCATTTTCAAAAATAAATGACTCCTTTTCACCACAATAAGAAGAAATGAATTTTTTTTTTCAACTTCACAGAGCTGAGGCTCTCCAGACCTATTTGAGCTCACAGAACCAGAAAATAATCTTATGATTTGGTTTTAATAATATAAATTTAACTCCAGCTAAGAGTAAATAAAACAAAACATAAAATAGTGTATCTTCAACTTAACCCTACATTTTGAGATTGAAAAATTGTTCTACATCATTGTCAATTAGCTTATGACCCTGTGTTGCAACCAAATTAGAATATGTTGATTGATTCCCATGTAAATGATAATATTGATAGTATTCAATAACTATTAGGTTCTCAGTGAACTCTGGGAAAGAATAGATAAAGCAAGCATCATTGTTTTCATTTTACAGCTTGATATTCTCCAGATAAAAAATATACAGATACTGAATGCTAAGAGTGAGTCAATTAATGGGAAATATTCAAAGATAAAATGTAATAACAGCTTTGAGCAGTAATGAAATATTAATTTAAAGTTAAATGTAAGTATAAAATCAGATATTATGAAAAGTTTGCTGCAAAAATAGGGAACTCAGAGGCAGTTATATTTCAAGACCACAGATCCTAACAGAGTTGCTGCTCAAAGTGATGCAAGCAGAACATTGATCTTTTAACAAAAGCATTCTGGTAGACATTATCTTCTGAATATTTTATAGATATATAATTTTTAATAATTTTTAACAAATAAGTTGTAAATGTAGATCCTTAATATAGGTTTTCATCTTTTGGGCATTTCAGCTTTGAAATTTGGAAAAGAACCTTAATAAGATTTGAAAATTTGAAAATGTATCATAATTATCATTGGATATAGTATAATTTCCAGAGACTGCAAGGGAAATCTTAATTAGCAATCATATATGTGTAATATAATATTTGTTTTTTCTAATATATATAATGAGTAAATTTTGGCCAGAATGTACATTATATAATAAATAGGTTTCTATAATAAAATATATTAACTAGTATTGGATATTTTGGCATGGGGAATTAAACACAAATGCTTAGTAAGGTTTTAAAATATATTTACTCTCATCGGCAAAAACATTAAGATATTCAGGGAATTAAATGAGAAGTATTTTCCAGAAAAACTCAAAATTTGAATTAGAATACTGGATTTGATTCTAACTCACTACTGACTGCATCGTCAAGGATTGGTGACTTGCCCACTTTGGCTTCAATCCACTCATGTGTAATACAGTGTCTCATTGTTTGGCATGACGATCAGATGAAGAAATGCATATACAAGTATGTTTCAGTGGAAGATCATTATGCCCACATTACCTAAAAATTTACTTCCGCTCATGCCTGTAATCCCAGCACTTTGGGAGGCCGAAGTGGGAGGATCACATGGGGTTAGGAGTTTGAGACTAGCCCGGCCAACATGGCAAAACCCCGTCTCTACTGAAAATACAAAAATTAGCCGGGCGTGTTAGTGCACACCTGTAATTCCAGCTGCTCAGGAGGCTGAGGTAGGAGGATCGCTTGAACCCTGGAGGTGGAGGTTGCAGTGAGCTGAGATTGCGCCATTGCACTTCAGCCTGGGTGACAAGAGCAAAACTCCATCTCAAAAAAAAAAAAAATTACTTCTGAAACTGTTCACTCAGCATGTATGAAAACCCTCAATGTAACCTGTATTTACACGCATAAGTCAGCCTCCAAAATAAGTTAGTACATCCACTTTAAGAATGGATTGCAGTAGGTTCTTAAGTTTGTTGGACTCTTGAAAGGTATATTCCTTCCCTAGTACATTTTCTAAAACAAATTATTCATTTGCTATCTTTTAACATATGAAATTGTTAAGGCATGTTGACTTGATAGAGTGCTTGCTTCCCCTTGAGAGGACTCAAAAATGCTGCAATTTTAAATCAAACTATGGTCTCAATGGACTCAATTTCAACACGTCATGCCATATGATAGGGTGAATGAAGTCAATGCTTAAAAATACCCTTTTAGTTACCCTGTATTTCCATACTGGATTCCAATGTTCAAGGTAATTCTTTGCACAATAAAAAGCAATTCCTCTCTTTACCAGAAGGTGGCACTGCACCCCTCACTGTCATTCTGAGGTGGGTGCTGTGAAGAGATTATTCAACAATCTAGAAAGAAGCTGGGCTTTAGAACATTTTATTTGAAATAATGAGACACATGTGATTAATTTCCTAAAGAATAATTTTACTTTTGTCATATTGGGGAAAGATGTGCATACTAAGTAAAAATGAACAGCTGTTGAGAATAAAAGGAAAATGCTTCATTTAGAATCTATTAATTTCTATCATCATTGTTCAGTACAATATTCTCAGACTTAATTACTCATGTAAAGAACAGTATGACTAAATGTGAAATAAAGTTTTCTTTACTCCCTTCAAGATCTGTTCTCCTTCTAACCACAAACTGTGCCACTGACATTTTATTATTTATTTTTTAACATAGAAATCCCACTAGGGTAACTAATTTCATTCTGAAACCCATTTATTTATGTTGTGATATGACAGTACCTACTTTGGCTTTTTTTTTCTCTCTCCTAGTCCCACCTCAGTCTCATGGGAGTAAATAAATCAATCATTACTGCAGGAATCTCTCCTTCGAGAGAACAGGGCTCTTTAAAAATACTAGTTGCATATGTAATATTTAAACACCTGATTTTTAAAAAAATTCCTGAGACAGTTGAGATAGCCTTCCATGCAGTTCCAAATGTATTGTTTGCTGATGGCAGGAGGAAAGAAAGGAGACAGTGAAAAGACTTATTGACAGATGAAAGGGGCTCAACTTGATTATATTTTAAGAAATACAATAGGAGAAATTCATGTTACTAAAAGCACAAGCACTCAATTAATTAATTGTCAGAATCAGGAGTAAAAATTGCATCTTACAAGAGAGAAAGTAAAGGGAAAGGATAAGAAAAAGTGAAGATGCCTTTATTTTATGTATTTATTTATTTTGTACCCTTGATTTTGAATAAATAGTTTTACTCCTATTCACTAAATCCATGACAATAATGGTATGAAATAAAAGTAAGACCAGATAAAAATACCTATGATGCTCATTGTTTAAATGAATCATTCCACATTTAATTGAATAGATTTAATAAGTAAATATAATTGCTGCATAACAGTTATATATAACAGGGTTTTTCACATTTCTTTTTCCTAATTATCATAAAATAAATAAAAATTCAGCAATATGTTTAATTTTTATTTTGAACATGGAGGAAAAAGAATTGCTTAGTTGACATATTTGGTGGCCTTCCACTTTCTGGTTCAGCATCTAAGAAATTTGCACATCACCATGCCACCCGACAGCAGGTGAAAAGCTAAACAACAGAAAAGCCAACAGTCCTTCTTAGCTCTGTTAGAGCAGTGAGGTCACGAGGCAATCACTGCCCTAAAACTTGGAGAGACAGGCAGGTACAAAACATCACAACTTACTAAAGCAGAAACTCACTTGCTGAAAGCACAACAGGAACTGGTGTAGGGGGAGGATAACCTGATGGATAATTGATGCATTGCTGGAGGCTGAAAACTCCAGGGGCACCTAGTCATAGAAGGGGCATCACACTTGTGAATTTTACCTTCAGGAGCTTTACTAGGTCCCCACGGTGACTATCTGAGAAAAATCCCTTTATGTTTCCAGCAGGAAGGGGAGAAAAGGAACCATTTAAAAATATGTCAGAACTTTCTGTTCCTCTTAACTTGGCCCATCCTCAGGAGAAACTATTTTACCAGACCCAATCTTTTGGGATTTCATTAACAGCCAAACCTACCTGGAGGGAGGGAAATACCCAACTCTAGCCAACTCTAGTCTCCCAAGTGGGGCAAGGGAACTATGCAACTCCAGCCACCTCCAGCCGTTCTGTCCCCACCTTAGTTGGGGACAATGAGAATGACTTGTGAAGTTCAGAGTCCAGAAGTTCAGGCTCACTAAAAGACTGACCCTAAATATTAGACTGTAGAACAATTCTGTTCCCCCTCCAGCATGCCACTACATTACTGAAGGCCTGTTTACTTCAGTTTCTTTTACATCGTGTCTGCCTTTCCATACACGTGCACACACACACACACACAAAAGTTTCAAGAGACTGAACGAGTATGAGAATCAGAGTCAGATATGGCAGGGTTTTGGAATTATTGGGCCAGGCATTTTTTTTTTAAAGCTATGATTAATATGCTAAGAGCTTTAATGGAAATACAAGAACAGATGGATAATGTAACCAGAGAGGTAGAAATTCCAGGAAAGATTAAAGAAAGTGCTGTCAAATAAATGAATAATGCTTTTCAATGGGCTCATTAGTATACAGGAAAGAACTGAGAAAAGAATCTATGAGCTTGAAGATTTCGCAACAGACACTTCCAAAACTGAAAAGCAAAAGAAGGAAAGGAACAGAAGTAACATTGGGAGAAATAATGACTGACAATTTTCCCAAATTCATGTCAGACACCAATTCACAGATCCACGAAGCTCAGAGAACACCAGCCAGAACAACTGCTTAAAAAACTACCCCTAGGCAGATTATGTACAAGCTGGAGAAAATCAAAGATGAAAAATCTTGAAAGAAGCTTATAAAAAAGCAAAAATAAGAATTACATCTGACTTCTCCTCAGAAACCATGCTAGCAAGAAGAAAGTGGAATAAAATATTCAAAGTGTTGAGAGAGAAAAAAAACCACCAATGGAGAATTCTCTACTCTATGAAATAATCCTTCAAAAGTAAAGAAGAAACACTTTCTTAGACAAACAGAATTTTAGAGAATTTGTTGCCAGTGGAACTGCCTTGCAAAAAATCTTAAGTGCTTCAGAGAGAAGAAAAAATTATATAGGTCCTAAAATCATATCTACATAGAGAAAGGAAGAACATCAGAAAATTAATAAATCAAAGTAAAATTTGAAAAAGTTATTTTTCTTCGTTGCAGTAATACATAATTTCTTCACTATAATAGTAGCAACAATATTTTGGATTCCATATACTTATGCATTATATATGCATATGTATGCTTATACATAAGTGAAACGAATGATAATGATACAAGAGATAGGAGGAAGGAATTAGGAAGATTTTGTTATAAAGTAATTGCACTGCTTGTGAAGTGATACAGTGTTATTTGAAAGTGTATTTGGATTCATTTAAAATGTATATTGCAAACTCTATGAAAACCATTTTAAAAACTAAAAAATGAAAAAGTATAATCGATAAGCTAAGACAGGAGAGAAAATGAAATCATATGCTCAATTAAAACCACAAAAGGCAGAAGGTAGAAGAAAAACAACAAAGAACAAGGGCATCAGATAGAAAATTATAACAAATACGGTAGGTTTTACTCCAACTGTATCAATAATCACCTTAAACCTGAAAGTTCTAAATATACCAATTAAAAGACAGAGATTGTAAGAATAGATGAAAAATCAAGACCTACCTATATGTTGTCTATAAAATACCCACTTTAAAATATAAAAACACATGTAGATTAAAGCAAAAGGATGGCAAAAGATATACCATGAACATAATCAAGAGTAACTGAGACTAGCTATGTTAATTTCAGACAGAGTGAGCTTCAGACAGGAAAGTTACTGGAGATAAAAAAGGGGCATTATATAGTGATAAAGGGTCAATACTCCAAGAAGATATAGCAATCCTTCATGTGTATGTACCTAATAACAAAGTGTCAAAATACGTCAGGCAAAGGCTGATAGACATCCCACCATTAAGATATACAGGTGGCATATAAGAATATAAAAACATGTTCAACATCATATGTCTTAAGAAATTACAAATTTTAAAAAATGAGATATCATTACTCATCTATAAAAATGGCCAAAATTCACAACACTGACACCACCAAATGCTGGTGAGAATGTGGAGCAGCTGGAACTCTCAATAATTGCTGACGGGAATGTAAAATGCTACAACCACTTTGAAAGAGAGTTTGTCAGTTTCTTAGAAAATTAAACATACTCTTACCATATGTTCCATCAATTGCACTACCCAAATGAATTAAAAACTTATATCCATATAGAAAGCAGTACATGGATCTTTACAGCAGCTTTATTAATAATTGACAAAAGTTGGAAGCAACCAAGTTGCCATTTTGTAAGTGAATGAATTAACTGCGGTATATCTAGACAATGGAATATAATTCAGTACTTGTAAGAAGTAAGCTATCAAGTTATGAGAAGACATGGGGGAATATTAAATGCTCTTACTAAAAGAATGAAGCCAGTCTGGAAAGGCTCAAGACTCTGTAATTCTAACTAAAAATGCTCCTCAGCTTCCAAATGGGATTGCACGCTCATTGTAAATTGTAAATATTGTAGGTTGAAAGTGTATTTTTGACTCAGGATATTTTTAATTTACAGTAGGTTTATCCAGACACAACCCCGTTGTAAGTCACAGAACATAATGAAGGTGTATTGCTCCTGCACCACAGTAAAATCAAGAAATTACAAATCAAACCATTGTAAATTAGGGACTGTCTGTATATAATATTCTGGAAAAGGAAAAATTATGGTGACAGTGAAAAAATTAGTCGTTGCTAAGGGTTAGGAGGTGAAGGGGGTGAATAGATAGAGGACAAATAATTTTTAAGGTGGTGAAGCTATTCTGTATGAAGCTACAGTGGTTGATACTTGTTATTATACATTTGTCAAAACTCAGAGAACGTACAATACCAAGAGCAAACCCTAATGTCAATTGATACTTTGGATGATAATGATGTGTCAATGTTGGTTCATTTATTAAAACAAATATACCACTCTCGCAGGGGAAACTGATAAATGGGGAAGGTGTGCGAGTGGGGTTGGGAGTATATAGGAACTCTGTACTTTCCATTCAATTTTGTTGTGAACATATAACTGCTCTAAAAGTTTATTAATTAATATATACATATGGAGCTCATTTTTCAAGGAAATTATCCAACATTTTATGGACTAGGTTTAGTAAGTAAAAATAAATGCGTGATAACAATGATCATTCCTTTTTTCACATTTCTTTCTTCTAAATTGTCTTAAAATTATAAAAAGCAATATGAGTTTATTTTTAATTCTAAATGTGGAGAAAAAAAGTATTGTTTAGTTGAAGCATTTGGTAATTATGAAATTAGATGTCTATTGGAGAGAACAGTGTTTATTAATTTTAGCTGACAAGGGAATAATTTAAAAAGCTTTCATTTTAGATTAATTTTATGTCTATGCCCACGTATGGGATTGCAGATTACTGAAATGTAGAACATACTTTACAGCAAATAAGTTTAATACCATTATGTTTGCATGACAAATACACATATTTTTCATTATTACTTTTTTTAAAATTTGAAATAATTTGAAAAAAATTTACTGAGAATTTATTAAAAACATATTGCTGCCAGGCGCTGTGGCTCATGCCTATAATTCCAGCACTTTGGGAGGTCAAGGCGGGCGGATCACAAGGTCAGGAGTTTGAGACCAGCCTGGCCAACATAGTGAAATCCCATCTCTACTAAAAATACAAAAATTAGCTGGGTGTGTTGGCGAGTGCCTGTAATCCCAGCTACTCAGGAGGCTGAAGCAGGAGAATTGCTTAAACCAGGATGCTGGAGGTTGCAGTGAGCCGAGATGGCGCCACTGCACTCCAGCCTGGGCGACAGAGCGAGACTCTGTCTCAAAAAAAAATAATAAAAAATATATTGCATATTATGCTCAGGTAGAAATTTCAAGAATATTATTAATTCAATTTCTGCCTACAAAATTTTACATTGAAATAAAATATTTTCTTTTTCCAATAAAAAAAGCAGAGTTTACTGGTTCATAACTCAAAATGGAATCAAATAGCATACATATTTGCATTTATATTATGAAACAATACAAATTCTGAACTCCATATCTCCAGTACTGTGAAAGAGTAACAGTATTCACTTTATTTTGTGTATGTAACTAACAGGAAAGGAGAATTCCCAGAGAGTTTCCTATATTGGATAATAGATGAGAGAATCCTATATTGGATAATGGACAAGAGAGAATTATTTAACTCCAGATTTGATTAAAATGATAAAACTACCTCTTAAGAATGATTATAGTTCAACTCTGAAATGTAAACTTAAACCATTTTCCTATCATTGTAAACAAATTAATCCGACAGTTATATTCACTCCTACTGGTGTGCTAAGGAATTGTTGACACTCTTTGGGCAGGATCTAAGTGGCTACACCCATTCGGCTCTGCCCCAGAAGTCCTGCATCCTTTCTGATACTTCCTTAATTAAATTACATGTACACTACATTCTCTTTCAAGAGGCTTTTATTGGCCAAGAAGATTAACCACTCCATTCTTTGTTCCCATTATACTCCATACAGCTTTTTGTTGCACAGGTAATTACGTACTGCTATATTTTTACTTATTTATTTCTTCTTATCCAACTATATACATTTTAAGGGGAAGAGAAATAATATTCTTTTTGAATCTGCAGTGTTTAGTACCATGGTGAACTCAGTGCCTGGCCAATAGCAGAAACTCAACAGTAACTTAATACATCTTTGTTATACGAATGAAAGGAAAGAAGGGAGGAAGAATAATGGAAATTATCATAGTTTATGGAGTCCATTTAAGTACTATTACTTCTTTATGGCAATTTACTCTCATAACAACCTTATGAAGTACAGATTATTATCCTCATTTTACAACTAAAACAAAACACAAGGTGATGATCAGAGAGTTTAAGCACCTTGCCTGAATTCACACAGTTCATCCTGTGTGCTTGGGATGCAAATAGTGAGTACCTCCGACTCCAGAGCAACACTCAGGACATGACAATGTTCAGAAGGTGTGTGATGCATGCCATAGGCTCTCCCTCATAAAAACACACTTGATCCTAATACCGTCACTGTGGACTAGATATTAGGATCCATTATTTGCAGATGAGAAAGAAAACAGTTAAAACAAGTCTCCTGTCTGAGCAATTTTGAAAGGTGCTAGGCTACAGAGATGCCATGATTATAAGTTCAAGGTTCATTCACTGCCACAAACCTGTCTTATAATACTTTTGCATATTTCCTCACTGAAAAATAGTATCCTCATTCAGAAATTACATAATGGCCATAGCTAGGTAAGTGTGTTCTGTGAATTTGGAAATCAGTTTCAGTTTGCTGCAGCCTGCAGGTATTCTCAAATGCATCAGAGAGTAGACTAGGAAAAATAAAACTGAAATGTAAAAGGAATGAGCAGGGGGTGTATATTAGGCTCTTTCTGACCTAGTATTAGCCTCCCCATCAGATTTCACTTCCAATGGTCTTTCTCCAACAACATGGTCTTTCAGGCCTTTCCTTGTAATCTAAGGTAGAGTGAGAAGGAAAGTGATTTTAGGGTCATGATTGAATGGCTAACAGCACAAATTCAAAGACTTCTTTTATCAGGAAAAAATAAGGTTATTTTATGGTAATTATCATTGGAAATTCTAAACCTTAAATCAGAGAAGCATTAGCAGTCAAAGATCTCTGCTGTAGATTTGTGGAGTTTGTATTACATTACAGATATTTTAGAAAGGCATAAATTGAAACCAACGATAAGAATTGACAATGAATCTGAAAATCAAGCCACTAAGACTGCATGGCCCTTCAAGATAAATCAACATTATAATATTCAATATTAAGCTCTATGCATTTTCTCATACAATAAAATAGTTTTGATCTCTAATCTAGAGACAGCCAAAAAACGGTGGTGGTGGTTGTTCTTTTTAATTCAGTGATACATATGTGCAGTGCCTAAAACTAAACAAGACAGGGCCTAATCAGCGTCTGGTATTATAAATTTACAAAAGAGGAGTAAAAAAGAATTAAGCCAAGCTCCGTGCAAAGTGTGTCATCTTTATTAGGTTTATAGTCATTATTTAATTTAACCTTTAAAATAACCCCTTGAGTTAGGAGCGTATTGGCTCCAAATAAATTACCAGTATATTGATCTTACTGTATGGCAAGTATTTGAATCTCAGATTCAAACCCAAATTTTTTTGGAGGCCAAATCAACTGCTTTTCATAACTACACTGCATTCCCACTCATATGCTTCTACTGACACCACGTATGTAAATGGGTCAGTAGCCATGGTGAAGTTAAGGACACAAGAATAAACCACTGATTTAGAATCATAACTGAAGCTAGATGACAGGGCACATGGCAAACACGAAATATCTGGCAAGGTCAGTTTTGATGAACAGTGACTGTAATAAACTCAAATGATACTTCATTTAGAATAAGTTATTTATATACTTAATAAAAATCATTATAGCCTTTAATTACTTAGGTTCATTTGTCATTAACTTTATCCCGGGTTTTCACTGATCTACCCATTCATCTACTCAGCATATACTTATGTGCTCACTGTGTACCAGGACTCAGAAGGGGGCTCTGAGAGTGACCTGAAGAGTGAATAGGGGTTTAAGGAGAGTGTAGCACTTTTAACAAGGAGGCGCAGGCCCTTTGGCATGGAACTGCCAAGACTTTCAGGGTCTGAAAGAGAGCCAGTTGAGGCAGGCGCTCAGGGCAAAGTGGAAGCACAGCGGAAAACTAATTAAAGTTAATTTTGCTTTTCATTAATATTATCTTCAAAATTTACATTTCTATGTGTAATATTTATTGGGAAAAAAGATGTATCCCCTTGAAAAAAAAGTAATGCTACATGATATGCTAACAATGAAGTACTAAGTATCTATATAAAATAGTTTGAAAACTTTGAAAAATTAATATCAATTTTACAGCCATTTATGCTGATAGCACCTGATATTTTATAAGATTTAATTAGACAGATTATGTTTTATTTTAAAGGTATGTACTTCTTACACAGGAATATGAATAGAAATAAAGATTTCTATGTACAAAGGCACTTAATACATATATTTAATATCTATTTTAAATTTTAATTGAAATGGTTTTTTAAGAGGGAAAAGTCTAGGTTTCATTAGCTTTTTATTGTTCTATATTTAATCAGCCCTAAAATATAATTACAGCCCTAGAATATAATTACTGTCAAATGAAAGCTTTATTATAATCTAACTGGCCCCACTAAAAATTTTAGTCATGAAGTCTCAGAGAAATTTCACTTTTGTTTGTAAAACTTTTCCTATGGCCCCTCTGTTCACAATCCAAAGGCAACATTTCTCTAGCTGCTCAGCTATTCTGTTTTCTGCTTTCTAACATGCCAACATCAAAAGCTGTAACTCTGCCCTTTTCTCTTCGTATCCATGTCAGACGCAGGGTAACTGGGAGAGCTTTCAATATCAACAGCAGCTCATCTTACTGATAAACAGGCGCAGACAGAAGCAGATGGTTTCTAGGCACAGAAAGCAGTGGGTGAAAGTGGTACACTCCCGTTTCTATCTTCAGAGAGTGTAAAATATTTTATCCTGAATGACATGCTCCTAAGTTAAAATAATATTTATTTGGGTAGGCCTGCTATACAGGAAATGTTAAGATACCGAAAACGGTACACTGGAAACAATATGAATCGTGCAACAAAAGCGAGTGAACTCTGAAGATGAGGGAAGTGAGTCGCACCACAGACAGCAGTGGGGGATAGCAACTCTAACAAAGTCTCCGCTCCTGCGAAGAGCTCATTCAAGCACCTCCCTTTTAAAGGGTATTCCTAATACCCTTTGGAAGTTTCTTCTTCCCTTCACTCACAATTTCCCTTCTCTGAGGTTCCAAGGATGTGAAAAAAAAATAATAAGATAAAAACCCCCAGACCATAAATTTTCTTACAGACTTCATATAGAGGGATATATGATAGATACAGATATAAATAATATTGACATAAATAAGTGTATCTACATCCGTCTATATCTATAGAACGTCTATACCTATCTATATCTTTATAACTATATTGATCGCTGTAGGTAGATCTAGATATCAGGAAGTAAAAGGGAAGCTGGAAAATATGATTTATATACAAAGATTAAATCTTTGCTCAAATCACTTGAAGGGCAAACCACATATATTTTTTCCTATTGGGGTTTGTTTGAGACAGGGTCTCGCTTTTTCTCCCAGGATGGAGTGTGGTGGTACAACCTCAGCTCATGGCAGCCTCAACCCCCAAGGCTCAAGAGATCCTCCCATCTCTTCCTCCCAAGTAGCCTGAACTTTAGGGCATCGCCATCACATCTGGCTAATTTTTTTTTTTTTTTGTATTTTTGTATTTTTGCTAGAGATGGGGCTTTGCCATGTTTCCCAGACTGGTCTCGAACTCCTGGGCTTAAGCGATCCACCTGCCTCAGCCTCCCAAAGTCCTAGGATTACAGGCATGAGTCACCGAGCCAGGCACCCCATATGTCTTAAGATAAAATCCAGATGTCTTACTGCTTCCCAAACAACTCCGTATGATACCCTACTTCCACCTCTACCACTCTGAGTCATTGCATGCCAACAGTAGTACATTGCAGCCATGTGGGCCTTCTTTTGATTCCCAACATGCCAAAAAAATCCTTGCCTCAAAGTCCTTGCACTTGTTATTTTCCTATTCCTGGAATTCATGTGCCTGACTCTGGACCTGAGGCTTCTTATCTTCTCAGTCTAAAGTCAAATATCACCTTCTCTGAGGAATCATTTCTGACTTTATCTGAATAATTCAGCCATCCCCCAATATCATAGCATCCTATTATTTTACATCAGAGAAATTATCCCAATCTAAAAATGTCTTGTTACATGTTTGTCTATATATTACCTATTTGTATATGATATGTCTCTCCACACTAAAATGCTACCTTCATGAGAACAGCATCCTTACTGGTGCTACATTCCTCTATATCCTTTAACCTAGGATGGAGCCTGTTACTAAGAGATGTCCAATAAAAATTTCTTCTGTTGATAGGTTGGTTGATACCTCATTGACAGATCATAGATATGCTCCTTATTAATTAATAATACTTCTTTCTTAATGAATGATGATTTCCCCACAGCATTCTAAAGTCCAAATTGATGACTTATAGTTCAGATATTTGAATGACCAAATTAGCTCAAATATTATTCTTGCTTCCATCATGAATGTGGATTAATGTGGACTGATGTGGATTAAATGTAGGCAGACTGGCAGTGAGTAAAGTCAGGATGTAGACACATTGCTCCCGTCAAGACTGATGTCAAGAGGAAATCACCAGCTGTCTAGCCTTTGAAGCCAATGGGAAGATTACTTATTGACCTGATACATTTTCACTTCTGATTCAGAGTGGGCATTCGTACAATCTTTGCAAGTAAATTATAGCTATAAAAGGATCCCCAAAAAAATTATTTCTGACAATTTGGGGAGAGTAGGTCACATCTCTATCTCAGAAACCGAGAAATGGTCATATACTAAAATGAGAAGGAAAATGGTGAGTCTGAACCAGGTCTTATTCCATTAATTCCATACTCAAATTGAGACACCATAGAGATAGCAGACACACAGATGATAAGTATTTTTCATAAGCAATATTGATTTTTGTATTTCATTTTTAAAAGTGCTTAGCATTCAGAGGAAGCCAAAAAATACTGTTTGATACTCTTCTATGGAAAAATAATTTGCCACTAACTGACACATCAATGCTACATCAAAGGAAATTACAGAGCGCTCAGTAGTACTAAAGCTAGGGCATGAGGCCCATTTAGAATTGGATTTTTGTTGCCACATAGGTTATTACTTCTGTAAAACATGCATATGTGATCATCGTTTGGTTAGGGAGCAGAAAATAATATTTGAAAAGTGCATTTTTCTGTTTTACTGCACGGACCTGTGTCTTTCAGTCTCCACAATCAGCAACTTCTAGCCTGACCCACTCAATATAAAAAGATATGTAAAATATCTGCGGGTTTAACTTATTCCAAAATCACCCCTTATTTAAGTTGGATGCAAAATTAACAAATTAATAGACTTTTCATTTAATTCCAAAATATAAATGTCTCCAGTTATAGAAAATGGTTAATTCTCAATATTTGAGATAAAATTGAATAATAAAAAAAGATATTTTCTTTCATAAAAATTTAAAGTAGGTTCCATCATTGTTGGAAATAAAATATTGACTTGAAATACTGTCTACTTTCAATTAGACTGTAATTACAAAGAGAACATTGGTCATTATTTTTACACTTTGTATGTTTGGCTATTTTATAGGCAAATATTAAAGGCCCAATATTCCAACACTACTAAAGAAATATTAGAATTGGATCTATCCTGGGACTGTCTTCTGTCCACGCAAGAGACTTGCCCCTTTGAAATAAACCAAAAAAGCATTGAAGTTTTATTTTAAAATTCAGGCAGAAATGTTGACACTGCCTGTATCAATTTAAACACAATTTTTTTTAAAAAAAGCCACAAGAAATCCCTCTAGACTGCTGTATATAACATCGTGTCTCAGGAATTTCTTTGAGAAAATAGGTACAGGTAAAAGCTTGCAATATACATTTTTTAAAATAAAACTTTAGAGCAAGCTGAGGATTACCTGGATTTTGTTAGTATGTCATGCTGAAAAACACTTATACTTACCTAAGTCTTTGCTCAATGTATTTTCATTGAGAATATGAAGCACAGCCATTCTAACTTTAAATTTGGCCAAGCTTTGTTTTGATTATGTAAGAACATACCAGGAAAGGATGACTGTGTACTTTGAATTCATCTTAATTTTCTTTCTTTTATATTTCCCTTTTTCCAAGTGCCAAATAAAATTTTTCTCACGTTTTCTTTTAAAACATGAGTTCAGAATAAAATTAAGAGGAAAAAAATCAATCTCAATGAGTGTTTTATTCACATCTATGAACGCTATTGTGCTCTTACTTGATGTGACTAAGTGACATTTGCTGTCAAACAAAACAATTACGGCTGTATTACCCTTAATCATAAACATTTGCTAAGCACACATTTGTTTTTCAGTAACTGTGTTAGCCAGAGCTCTTTTGGTGGTAAATGCAAGACATTCAACTCGAATGTACTTAAGCAAAACAGGTAATTATTTGGCTCACATAAAACTATACAAGGCCTCAATAAGAGGAACTAGAAAATTATAACAGTTGAGATTCTCCCTACCTCTCATTTTCTGTTATGTTCCAAACAAATTATCTCAGACTGTTTTTTGACAAGGTTAAAAGCATGATTTCAGACATTATCAGTGCTTATATCCTCATACCTATCTAAAAATTCCAGCTTTCAGCTTCATTTTGTAAAACCATGGGGGAGTTTCCAACTGGATTCGATTGGATCATGTGCCCAAAGCTAGACCAATTATTGTAGCTAAAGAATTAGGTACAATGATTGGACGAGCCCTGGTCAGGTGGCATCATTAAATCAAAAACTGTAACTGTGGAGTTAGCTTCACGGGAAAAGATGCTGGCTCCTGTTGTGACCTCAGGGTCGGAGTATGAGAAGTGTATCTAAACTGAAGAATTCAGGACACATTTCCCAGAATAAATTGGAGGAGTGTAGGGAGAGCAACAGACAGACACACAGGCACTCAGACACACACACACACACACACACACACACACACACACGCACACACACGGGAGGTTACGCCTTCTCTCTCTTCCTATTCTTTCATCTTCCCTATCATTAAGGATATACTGAACGTCATCATCTCTGGACTTTAGTGAATGCCAATGGTAAAGATCTGATATTGTTTAGGTTATTCATGATCTTTATTCTGTAAAAGTCTGAGATGCCATTATTTATGCCTTTCACTCTTGAAGAGAAGATATTAATGTTATGGACAAAGATGTAAACTTTACATAAAATGATGGATGAGATGGTTGAAAATGGTATTTCATCAGTTCTAAGTTACAACAGTGACACTTGGTTAAATCTAATATTTGATACATTGCTGTTGGCCGAGGAGCAGCCATGGCACATTGTCACTTCAATTGATGTGCATGGTTGATACTACAAGTGTTGGGTTCAACTGTCATAGAAGATATCTTTAAAACAGGTTACACTATGGTTCAGCATGAAAACAAAAAAATACATATTGTCTTCACAGAAAGTTTCTAGAACACAGCAGTGATGCATGCATTTGATATTCCTGAAGCAAATATTTAGCATCTGAAGAATGAACTCCATTCCATTTTTTTTTCTTTTGGAACAAAACCCAAGTGTTTTAGAAGACCTAAGATAGTAGGATTCCCACAAGTTGATGAAGCTATGCTAGGTTACTGATTCAGGTACAATGCAACTACAGGTGGGGGAGATTGCTAGATGTCTTGAAAGAGACAAAAGAAATTAAAGAACACAAGAATATTGAATGACTAAATTATGTAGAATTAGTATTAAGATAGCATGTGAAACCTTGCCAGGAATTTTCTTTAGTGTACATAAAGCAATAATACATCTGACAATTGATGGAGTCTTTGATGTCAACAAAATACAGTAATAAGGGAAATTGATTTTTACTTCATGGAAGTTACTTTGGCAACATTGTGAAGTAGCAGGATTGTTACAATAGTAATCAGATTACTTAAATTTTAATCCTTGGTGCTATCACCAACTAATTGTGCTGTCTAAGGAAAGTCAATTAAATACTTAGGTCTTCATTTACACTATAAAGATTTTGGACTATAGATTATGTCAGAAGTCAGTCTCAAACATTAAGTGACATGATTCTAGATGAACTAAAGAATGTAAAAATGTTTTATTATTCATTTTAAGAATGATGGTTTGAAAATACTGTAACTGTAGCTTGGTCATTAGTAATTTTCAGAGGCCAGTGTAATATTTTTACTTTCAGTTCTGGAATAATGTATCTAGATCACATACCTAATGTTTCCAGTTGAGATAGATTTAGCATGCAGAACAGGCTATGTTTTGTGTTTTTCTTAACCTTCAAAGTGTTTGTTATTTTGATTAGTGTTTATACATTCAGACAGATTAGTGAGGCAATAAATAGGAGTAAATGCTAAAGGACAGCTAATCAAGTGAGTGAGAAGCAAATAGCCACTTACTATAGACTACGGTTATAATTCAAAAGCATGTGAAGCATTATCATTTTGATGTAGTGTTTTTAGACCAAACGTTGTAACTAGAACAAACAAATAGTTACACACTAGCACACTGGAGGATATGGTCATTAAGAACCAAAGATTTTCTAATAAGAGACGGTAATCTTTCTCAGAGGCCACAGGCAGTTTTAGTGCCCATTTATTGAAAATGTAGTGCAACATTTTAAAAAGTCAAGCACAAACATTTTATTGTACTGGGTTCTTAGGGTCTGAGAACCTGAAGGTCACTTGAGTTGTTAATATAATCCTTTCCCCATCTTTAAGAATGATATAAACTAAATTATCCCACATTCTTTCTACTGGAAAAATGCTGAGAAAAAAAATAGACAAATGAATTCCATTATCTCCTAGGATAGCATTCTTCTGAAGCACATTTTTTACAATTAGTATCATGTCAACTTTTCAAGAGAACTTATGCTCCTTATTAATTTACAAGAAAAAAAATTATGAAATATTAGAACTAGAAGAAAAGCTAACAATCATACAATCAATGTTTGATTTTAGAAATCAAGCAACATAGTACAAAAAGCTTAAATAAATATTCACCCCCATAGAACTAGTTGATGACAAACTGGATGTGGAGCCCAGATCTTTTAATTTTTACTTTAATAATTTAATATTTTGCACACTTTTCATTTACTTTAAAACCAAATCATGCTGCTATAAAGACACATGCACACGTATGTTTATTGCGGCACTATTCACAATAGCAAAGACTTGGAACCAACCCAAATGTCCAACAATGATAGACTGGATTAAGAAAATGTGGCACATATACACCATGGAATACTATGCAGACATAAAAAATGATGAGTTCATATCCTTTGTAGGGACATGGATGAAATTGGAAACCATCATTCTCAGTAAACTATCACAAGAACAAAAAACCAAACACCACATATTCTCACTCATAGGTGGGAATTGAACAATGAGATCACATGGACACAGGAAGGGGAATATCACACTCTGGGGACTGTGGTGGGGTCGGGGGAGGGGGGAGGGATAGCATTGGGAGATATACCTAATGCTAGATGACACATTAGTGGGTGCAGCGCACCAGCATGGCACATGTATACATATGTAACTAACCTGCACAATGTGCACATGTACCCTAAAACTTAGAGTATAATAAAAAAATATATATATATAAAAAAATAAATAAATAAAACCAAAATAATCTCTAGCAATTGATTATGCCACTCCTTTACCATCCAGTCATTTGACTTTAACTTCCAAAAACTTACTAGGAAAAAAAAAAAATCAGCAACAGAAGGAAAATCTCGATGACTCGCAGGCAGAATAAATAAAAAGACAATCACATCAATGGTGAATCTCGGTAAAACTGCTGAAATCAAAATCAAAGAGAAAATAATAGAAGCAGGCCAGAAATAAAAAGCCTCTTCTTTCTCAAATGAAAAAAAAGAAGCAGTAATAAAACTAATAGCTAACTTCTCAATAGTAAAACAAAATTGAAGTCAGAATGCAGTGGTTTAACATCTTTAAAATGTGAAAGAAAACACCTAATCTTAAAGCTCATGTTATATTAAAATATCTTTCCAGTATGAAAGGAAAATAAAGTTGCTTCTAGACAATCAGAAAAGAATGGGAGAATTTGTTTCTAGAAAACTTCTATTAAATACTAAAGGGATTGTTCAGGCAGAGGAAAATGATCCTAGTGAGAGACAAGGAAATTCAGGAATAAATAAATGGCAATTGAAAGGATAAATCTATAAGTAATTGTACATGAACATTGACTTGCATAAAATGATACTAATGGCTTATGAGGTTTACCATATATGCCAATCAAATAATTAGAATACAAGCTAGAAAAAATAAATGGTTTTAACTCTTTCTAAGACCCTTGCAATGTCTGGGAAGTGGTAACATTACAAATATTGATTAATGTTTGCCAAGAACTAGCCAAACTCCAAAGTTTGATGGTACAGTCCCTCAGACTGCCGAGTCTGCCCAGACTTCGGAAACCAACAGCAAGGAATCAGGGTCCAATTACAAAATTAAAGGGAAAAGTCCACACAACACTACCCTCTCTTTTGACACCAACTGCAAGTTTTGAGAGTTCCCACAACAATTCTGCGTTGATAATTCACTAGAAAAACTTACAGAACTCACTGAAAGCCATTATGCTATTATGCTCATAGTTGTGATTTATCATAAAGAAAAGATACAGATCCAAAGGAAGAAACACATAGGGCAGAGTCTGGAAGGTTTCCAAACATGAGCTTTCTACCCTTTTCAGAACACATTACCCTCTGGCAACAATGTGTGACAAAACACACAGAATGTTGTCAATCCAGGAAGCTCATAGGAGCATTGAGACCTAGAGGTTTTTTTGTTTGTTTTTTGGTTTTTGTTTGTTGTTTGTTTGTTTTAGACAGAGTCTCGCTCTTTCTCCCAGGCTGGAGTGCAGTGGCGCAATCTCGGCTCACTGCAATCTCCGCCTCCTGGGTTCATGCCATTCTCCTGCCTCAGCCTCTCCAGTAGCTGGGACTACAGGTGCCCGCCACCACACCTGGCTATTTTTTTGTATTTTTAGTAGAGAAGGGGTTTCACCATGTTAGCTAAGATGGTCTCGATCTCCTGACCTCGTGATCCGCCCACCTCGGCCTCCCAGAGTGCTGGGATTACAGGCCTGAGCCACCGCACCCGGCCCTGTTTTGTTTTTTTGTTTGTTTGTTTATTTGTTTGTTTTTTGAGACAGTTTTGCTCTTATTGCCCAGGCTGAAGTGCAATGGCATGATCTTGGAGACCTAGAGTTTTTATTAGGGTTTCATTACATAGGCATGATTGATTGATTAATTACCTATCTGATTTTACTTGGTCTTCCAGGTCTCCATCATGCCCCTCTCTGGAGGTCAAGCTGATGTCACATGGGCTGAGGGGCTCACCAGGAGTCACCTCATTAGCATAAATTATCAGGTGTGGCCCAGGCAGCCCACTATAAATAACAAAGACTCTCCGATCATTCCTCCAACTCCAAGGGTTTCATTAGAGGTTACTTTCTAGAAAGCGGGAACAAAATTCAGACCTCTCTTTGGGCAAGGACAAATTCTTTACTACAGAGGGCACATTCTGGGCTTTTGGCCAAGCCTTTCTTACAGCAAAACATCACATTTGTCTAGACATTTACATTTAATAAAGCATTTATATGACAGCTGCAACAGTGATATCATTATAAATATACCTAACGTTTGGAGGAGCCATTTGGAACAGTGATACGTTTATAAAACAACTATTTCGGCCAGGCGCGGTGGCTCACGCCTGTAATCCTAGCACTTTCGGAGGCCCAGGCGGGTGGATCACCTGAGATCAGGAGTTCAAGACCAGCCCGGCCAACATGGCGAAAGCCCCGCTCTACTAAAAATACAAAAATTAGGGTGATGGCACATGCCTGTAACCTCAGCTAATCGGGAAGCTGAGGAAGGACAATCGCTGGAACACAAGAGGTGGAGGTTGCAGTGAGCAGAGATCGCACCACTGCACTCCAGCCTGCGCCATGGGAGCAAGACTCCATCTCAAAAAAAAAAAAAAAAAAAAACCCAACAACGATTCCATTCTGTAATGTCATTCCATATATATATATTTGTTGTTGTTATTGTTGTTGTTGTTATCGTTGTTGTGTTTTTTTTATTTTTTTTTTTATTTTTTTTTTTTTTTTGAGACAGAGTCTCGGTCTGTCGCCCAGGCTGGAGTGTAGTGGCGCAATCTCGGCTCACTGCAAGCTCCGCCTCCCGGGTCACGCCATTCTCCTGCCTCAGCCTCCCGAGTAGCTGCGACTACAGGCGCCTGCCACCACGCCCGGCTAATTTTTTTGTAGTTTTAGTAGAGACGGGGTTTCACCATGTTAGCCAGGATGGTCTCGATCTCCTGACCTCGTGATCCACCCGCTTCGGCCTCCCAAAGTGCTGGGAGCTCGGCTCCCAAAGTGCGGTGGCTGGAATGCAGCCACCGCACCCGGCTGTCATGCCATGTATTTTTATGTTTTGTTCCTTGGTTTACCATTATTTGTACCTTAAAATAAACTTATGCAGAACTATAGAACCTAGAAATTATTGAATAGTTAGATTAATTTTGTTTTTCCTCAGACCAGTCATTTTCCACTAATATTATATCCTGAAGATGCTTTTACTTAATTTCCTTATACATTTGACCATCAATATCAGTATTATAATCTTACCAACAAGGCCAGTGTTACAACATACCATAGTATGGCAGATGGAATCTGAAAAATAAGAGTCAAAAAAGACTAGCATATTGTTAGAATCTCATTCTGTCATTAACAATTAGTTCAATCCATCATCACATCATGTGACCAAAATGTCTTCTAGACCAATGCCTCTCAGGTTTGCTGGTTTACATTTAACCTTGCCAGGTTCCAAAAGATGGAATGGTCTTCACCCTTTCAGGCATCTAGGATAACTGAGCTAAAGGACAAAAATCATCTTTTGCTATGAGCCTCTCTTGAGGTATTAATATAATATTGAATTTTCCTTTTTGCCTATCTTCTTATTCATTTTTTAACCTTCAGCTGTTACTTGAGCTTCACTTCATTTGTTATTTAATTTTACCCAAACTTTTCTACCTTGGAAGGGATATTAGGTTCAGCCACTGTTGCCAGTTCTGACTACCAGCAGCAGTACTAGTCTAGCAAGTCCCTCCTCTCTTTCCTTTCCCATTCATATAGGTAGAGCTAGAAAGCTGGTGGATTGTCTTGAGCACTAGAAAATACAGCTCCATTCACTTTCCACCACAATTTTGCCAGATGGAGTAAAGGCACAAGCCAAGCCCACTAACCCCTGAGGAATTCTGATATAAAGTTTTAAAGGTATAATTTCTTGCTTAGGAATCATTCATGCTTCCTGCACCCACAGCTGCAGCCCTAGTCCTGAAACCACTACATCGGATAGCAAAAAAAGAAAGTTGAGAACATGTGGGGAAAAGAAAAAAGTCTAGTCCTACACTATCTGCTTTTCCCTCCACCATAATATAGTTAGACCAGTATTCTCCCCACCTCTACTTCTCCTGATCCTCCAGAGGAAGAAAGGAATCTGTCTATTGAGAAACCTCACTTGGCCACCTTCATGTTGAATTTGAGTATTCACTGCTAGAGACATATAATCCAGCCCTTCTTGCCTTCATCTTCTCTTATTTTAGACAATTGTTTTAATTGCCTATTCCAATTCTTTTTCAAACCATTACTCTGCGGTTATCTGTCTACTCATTCTTAGACATTATGACCTGTAAAATTTCTTGGTCTGAGAAACTGTGAATTGGTTGTCCAAGTTGGTGCAATATATTCTATTATGATGCGCTTATAGTACTCTGAACATTTTTATCTACCACTAGGTATGCAAGTCCAGTCCGGAATAAATGCCTATTCCTGTTAGGACCAATTTGTAGCTCCCAAGGGCTATTTGTAACAATTAAACTTGTCCCCCATGTACAGAGCTGCCTCCTGAGGGAATAGCCATGTGTAGCCTCTGTCGTTCTTGTTAGCAGACAGCAGTTTGTATTGACATTTGTGTGCCCTAGAAGGTGCAGGAGGAATAGGTCTGAATTCAGCCGTTCTCTGCATTCCTGCAGCCCCTGAGTGTTCACTCATTTCATGGACCCAGGTGGCCACCTCAAGCCAGTTCAACAAAAGGTCCACTTCCTGGTTCCAGTCGCCTTCTGATCTTGGAACGGGGTTCTTCCGATGGCATTGGCATATCTGATTTTAATGTTCTCCCTTAAATTTCCAGAGTGATTTCCATGGGGTCCCGCCCCATATGGGTATCCATTTACTAGGCTGGTTTCCCATTCCCTTTCTCCCAGACCTATATGGGTGGGCTGTTGGCCACTACTCATTAGTCAGTAAAAACCCAAATATAGAGGCCAACCATATTCTATTAATCCCACTAAGTTTGTTTATTTTTACCTGCTTTTCAGCAAAGGTCTTCCAAATAGGATACTGTTCATTCATCTTGGAATTGCTGTCCATAAGCCAAGCAACTCTATGAGAAACATCTTGAATATAAGGACATTATTAGGCTTAAAAATAAAAAGGATGGGGAAGGATAGAATATGCAAAAACTAAAGAAAATTGCTTTAACTACTGCTTTCAGATACAGTTGACTTTAAGGCAATAAAGAAATAAAGAGGAATTTTTCATAAAGATGAAAGGGTCGCTCTACCATAATGACATGACATTTCTGTATTTATTTGCAAAAATTTACACAAACTTAAATAGACAGGAATTCACATATCTTTTTCAATAACTTCAGATAAAGGATAACAAGCATATATAAGACTAAAAACATAATTTATAGATCTGTTCTAATTGACACAGAGAATGCTGCACCCAATAATAAAACATCAAGCCCAACAATGACAGAAAGCACATCCTTTTCAAGTTCACAGAGGATATTTACCAAATTGATAATATGATGGATCATAAAATATAGCTTAGAGTATTTCTCTGACCACAGTGAAAACTAAACTAAAATATTAGATACAGAGTAATGTTAGCAGCTACATTGAGATTTTGAAATCAAATTAACATAGCAGAGAAACTACAAATCTATATTTTATTATGAAACATTCCTTTTACCTGTTATACATAATTTATATTACAACTTCCAATTAAACTTCATAAAAATGAGATGTATTGCTTAAATCTCTGTCAGTTATTTCTGAATGCCTTAAATTAAATGTTTGACATAGAGATGTATCCCTTCATAGTCAGAGCTTAACATCATGAATTGTTTGTATACTAATTAGGATGTTCATAACAAAATGCCACAATTTTAGATCTGGGAGGAATTTGGAGGCCATATTACAAGTGGGAATATTAGGTCACCAAATAGAAAGAAAAGGGTGGTTATTTAAACCATTGGGGTTAAGTTTCAACTTTGCCCTCTGTCCTGTGGCAGAGTGTGAGATTGAAATGCTGAACTCCACTCTCCTGTATATAATGATTATAATAAATTGTTGTCTACTAACTGCAAAAGCATATAAAGAATTGGAACTAACATCCACAGAAGGCCTAATGACTGCTGTTAATAAGCTTGCCCCTGAATCTGTGAGTTGTTTAATCACAGTTAATGCTCCCAACAACCTTGTGACACAGTAGATATAAAAATAACATGTGTGTGAGAATACTGCATTAACTGTAAAAAAAAAATAGTGTCTAGTTATTATCTCATGCAAACAAAATTATGTTTGTATTCTCATCCACCATATGTTAGACAGTGTATTAGGGTTCTCTAGAGGGACAGAACTAATAGGATAGATATATATATAAAGGGGAGTTTATTAAGGAATATTGACTCACACGATTACAAGGTGAGGTCCCACAATAGGCCATCTGCAAGCTGAGGAGGAAAGATGCCAGTCTGAGTCCCAAAGATGAAGAGCTTGGAGTCCAGTGTTCCAGGACAGGAAACATCCAGCATGGGAGACAAGTGTAGGCTGGGAGGCTAAGTCAGCCTAGTCTTTCCACGTTCTTCTGCCTGCTTTTATTCTAGCCATGCTGGCAGCTGATTAGATTGTGCCCACCCAGATTGAGGGTGGATCGGCCTTTCCCAGTCCACTGACTCAAATGTTAATCTCCTTTGGCAACACCCTCATAGACACACCTAGGAACAATACTTTGCATCCTTCAATCCAATCAAGTCGACACTCAATATTAACCATCACAGATAGTTAACATGTTATCAGTATTACATTGATGAGACCCTATTTTAATTGATTTTTCTAGTACCGTAAAGACTCAAAGTTGTAGTATATTTCTTTTTTATAGTGGATTCTGATTTCCTACTAAATGACTCAAAATGTTTAAGTGCCTTAATAGATATTTTAAAAATTGCTTTAGGAAATTTTGACAATTCTTCTTGAGAATTGGGGTTCAGTTCTCATGTTTTTTCTTTTTAGCATTACTAAAAATAGTTGATTCTTGAATGTAAAATTTGATTGACTAACGTTATCACTAGACTTCCTTTTATCTACAGCTATCTGTTATCTTCAGGCGAACTAGTGAACCTCTCCAGTTTCTAATAATATATGAATAACAATTTATAACAGTGGTCCATAATTTTTTTTTGAATACTGAGACCATGGTATAGATAAAAATATTCATAACAGTTAAGATCTGTTGGAGTATAGATGAGTTAAAATCTGTAGAATATAAATCATATATAAAACAAAGTATTCAGACTATGTATATGTAAGGGAATAGCAAAAGCTCTGAGTCATGCTAGAAATAAGCTTTTATTATTCCTCTTGACTATAGTAAGTCTGGTTTCTCAAGTCAGAAATGAAAATGGACTAAAAAACAGGTGTGTGTTGGCATGACTTTGAGAAGAGGGCAATGAAATAAATCAGGCAGACATCACGCTTACTTCTTTCTTTTAGATTTCATTTCCTTCTATCTTGTAATGAAGGCTTTTGTTTTTTAAATGCATCCTGAGGCACTGGTTCTACCACCCCACAAACAGCTGAATTTTAAACAACTCCTTTAATATGAAGTTATTTTATTTTGAATTGGATTTTCCAGAGTCGTGTTTACTGCCTTGGATAAACAGGGCCTCAGACATGTAATAAATAGGTGAGTAAAATAAATGATTTTATTTATTTATGAGGAAAAGCACTTGAAAATGGCTAATTCTTGGTATATGCAAAGTGGGAGGGCTTGGAAGGAAAGGATATCTATTGAATTGAGGTATTACATTCTTGGTCCTGAGAACTCTTAAGGCAAACAAGCACAATGGGTGTTTTATATGTTTTCTAAAAGTCAGTTTTATTAAAAGTGTTTTTTGGCTGCCAATTTCCTATCCAGAATCCATCCATCTTGCTCTTCCTCATTCCTGACACCCTGTCTATGTAACCCATGTATGAGTCAGGAGAAGTTGATTCTGCCCTCAGTTCTAAGGGTGGTTCCTGAAATCAAAACCAACTGTGGTTCTCCCAGCCCTCAATTTTCCAAGAGTTGGTTCATTCAAGAACCTGGCCTTAGCCAAGCAGTTTGTAACCTTTCTCTGAAGCCTGATACTGGCTAAGGAAGTGGCTTTCCAAGTGTGTCCAGCAGCAGCAACATCGTCTGGGGACAGAAATGTGAATTCTTAGGATCTGGGACTTACTGGGTGAGAAACTTCAGGAGAGAGCCCCAGCAATCTGCATTTTAATAAGCCCTCCAGGTGATTCTGAGGCACAAATTTGAGAACTCCTGAATTAGATAATAGGAGCTCCTCAATTAGATAGGAGCTCCTGAATTAGATAGGCTCAATCTGATCCAAGGAGAGGATTTTTATCTCATGGATGTGAGAAAGGTTTCGTCTGTTCCTATTGATTTGAATCAGGAACTAAATTATCCCCACTGCTGCTGGCAGCCTTTCTGACAGCATCAGAGATTTTGGCCTGTTGATTGCAAAAGTCAAAATGTTTGTCGTCTTCACCTCAAATTAACAGATTGATACCAAATCCCCAATGTGTTGGTATTTGGAGGTGGGGCCTTTGGGAAGTGATTGGGTCACAAGGGTGGAGCCCTGTTCCGCAGGTGGTAAGTGCCACAATAAAGCAAAAAAAAAAAAAAAAGACAATGACATGTTTGGATTGCAATTTTAGATGAGATGGCCAGAAAATCTATCCTGAGAGGATGCCATGCAGTTAGACAGGACGGTGGAGATCAAAGCCGGGGAGGGAACATTTATGAAGTAGGTACCATTAGCCTCACCTCTAGCTATGCAAACTGAGACAGATAGAGGTGAAGCAGTTTGCCCAGGATTACAGGGGTAATAAATGATAGGATCGTGATTTGGACTGAGGACTGTCTAGAGCTCTGAAGTATGAGTATTTTTATTTACAGTATATTTTTTCTAGCAACATGTTAGAACATGTAAAAAGCAATCTTCTATTATTAGTAATAATGAGGGAAAACAGCAAAATTCATGAGCAGCTTTGTTAAATTTCTTTGGAACTCTTCCATTGCTTAAGACAGTCCTTCAAAGAGCAAAATATCTTAAAGAGGAAGAAATTTCCATCTTCTTACATGTTTAAATTAAACTGCTTGCAACATGGATCTACCTTTGTTTGGAGATGTGGGGGACCCTAAGTAGTAATGAATTTTCCTTTGCTTATTCTAGAGCTTGTTATTCAGCTTGTATGGGCAAGTTGGTAAAACACTGAGATACTTTGGATCCAGAAATAGCTGCTGCCTTAACCTCCACTAATGTCCTCTGGGCACAGCAGTGACCCTAGTTCTTCCATTAGGACCTTGCTTTGGTCCGGTACCTAAAGACTTTACCTGGCAGAGTAGGGGACTCCACACCCTATGCTGTTGCCAATGTCTATTCCAATTAGTTGGTGCCTTCACTGGACCAATTAAACATTGCATGTATCATCTCTATACTCTGTCATCCTTAGGCTCTATCACCAAAATCCCTTGGCAATGTAGCCAGTCAATGACAGACAAGGATGGTAGTGAAAGAGTTTTCTCTTGGCTGCAGTCAAGCCACCACCAAAGGGAATAATCTTGACAAGAATCCAGTTGATACAAACTGCAATTCTGCTCTCCTCTGCAACAGCCCAGAAGAAAGGGAGGAGATTTCTCTCTGAACTCAAAGCTCAGGTTTCTCAGACAAATGATCAAATAGTTGATTTGATTGCCCTGAATAATAGATATGTCCTTTAGTTAACAGATGTTCCCTACTGTTGCCTAATGTAAATTGTACATTTTCAATGTGTTTTCCTTTGTATCAAACATATATATGACAAACTTTCCATCCTCCCGGAGCTTACAAATCATTTTTTTAATGGAAAACTTGGGAAGACAGATTTTATTTCATACAATAACTTGCAGTGACTAGAAGGACAGCCCAAATATAGGAGAAAAAAGAATGCCTTGTAACAGAAAATTTTTATGTTTTCTGTCTATGGAACACTTACCTCTGAGAATCTGTCAGAAAATGAGGCCTTATCTTGCTTGACAACAATCATTATCTAGTCAGTAATTCCTTCTGAGGAATTTAAAACTTCTGCCTTTGCCCCTGAAATGACTGTATAATCTGTCAGAGCCATTATGTAAACTAACATTTATAAAGCAGAGGGTGTTATAACTACTTCCATCAAAAAGTTAATAATCTGTGACATTCCAAAATCACAACAAAAATGTTGTGTTGGTTCTCCTAGTAACAATAATAAAGAGTTCCTTTATGGTCTTGAGAATAAAAAAGCCCAACTCCTAAATAGTTTAAGTCCCTTGAATTCCATTTGATAGTCTTTTGCTGCAGTCCTGCTTTCATTAGATAGATCTGACTATATCTCTCAGAAGTTAAAGCTGGAAGATTCAAGTGCCTTATAAAGAGTATTGTAAGATTCTTATATAGGCAGAACTTTCTAACCCACTATTGTTATTGAGACTTTCTGTGACAGACATAAAAATTTTATTTCCATTTAAAAAACATTTTACTGATGTATCTGATTGTAATCTGCTGTTTATTCTCTTCTTTTCAAGAGCCTAGAGTATGTTCTGTGTGGCCAGGATCAAGGACAAAAGAAAATCATACATGATTAGAGGAGTGTAACTGTTTTATGGGTTGCAGTAGTTCTGAACTATATTGAGTCTTCCCAGCTGTTTTCTATCATAGCAATACCCTCTGTCCTTCACGTGAAAATCAAGGACTGCTCAAGTATAAATTTTTTTCTATACTGCCTTACTTTCTGTTTTAGGGCTTATTCAATATTTTTGGTTTATTCAATTTTGGTAGTTTCTTACAAATGACTTTAAAGTCAAAAAAGTGCAAGGAACTCATCCACATTTTTGCAAAACACTATAGAAGACCAGTGGCACTTAATTCATTCATCTTTATAAACATTATTGAAGTGTCCACCTAAGAGCCTTATTTTGTTAAAAAGCCAATTTCACCCTTGTGAACACTAACCTCTGAGCCTCTAAAACTCTCCTTGATTTAGGTCCATAATTTACTATTAACTCCTTTAAGCCTTCAGATACTATTCACTAAGACTCTGCTTTAGTCCATGATGTCAACTACCACCCTGATAATAATACCCTCTAGAATTTGTGCACTACTGTTTGCCTAAGTGGTTCAAAAGGAGGGAAAAACTGGGAGACTGGTATTCCTGTGCCATCTCTCTTTCCCAACAACCCCTGAGAGGCAGAATAATGACTCCCTTAATCCCTGGAAATCTGTGACTATGTTAGGTTGTACAGCAAAGGAAATTGCAGATGGAATTAATAATGCTAATCAGCTGCCCTTGAGATTAGTCTGCATTGTGCAGGTGTCCAATGCAGTCATAAAGGTCCTTACAATGTGGGAGAGAGAGAAGAGACAGACAGCTCCATGAGAAAGTCTGAATTGGCTGTTGCTGGTTTTGAAGACAGAGGAAGGCCAGGAGCCTAGGAATGTGAGAAGCTGGACATGTCAAGGAAATGGATTCCTCTCTGCTCTTGAGCCGCCAAGAGAAATGAAGCTCTGCCTACATCTTCATCTCCACACCCAATGAGACCTATTCAAACTTCTGACCTCTGGAATTGTAACACAGTCAATTCATATTGTTTCAAGCCACTAAGTTTTTGAAACCCTAAAAGGGAGATTTAACTGAGTAACAAAGTATTATGCTAGCAGGAATAATTATATCCATGTGAAAAACAGGGAGGTGGAAGTACACAGAGTGAAACAAAAACAGAAACTTCTTATGAAGGAGCTTTGTAACTTAAAACACATTAGTATCTGTTTCCAACAAGGTATTTTTCCTATCAACATTTAGAATATTTTTTCCATCTTTTTATACAGCTCGAACAAGTTTATTTCCATTTAAAAATCTTGCATCACCCTTTTAATTGAGAGAATGTGATTGCTGGAACAATTCAATGGAATAATTAAAGCAATTTTAATACATCAACATTTGCTATTTGGCAAAGGAATCAAGTAGAAAGTAAAATAATTCATGTGGCTTGTCTTTCATAAGTGTGGGTTGCTTCTATCTGAAATCAACAAGTGATTATGAACTGGTGACTCTATCCCCTGCATCTCTTACTGGCATGTCATTCTCATGCTCACCAAACAAAATGGGCACAGGTGTTTTAGAAAGCAAGCACCTAGAAATAAAATGAAGGCTTTACTGAGGGCTTCAGTATACTTTCTGAAGCCTTCACCTAGGGATGACCACAGCCCTTCATGGTTTCATTCTTGTCCTGGGGCTCTAATGTGCTCTCTAGAAATCCATTACAGCAGAGTTTTCATTTAACTCATGTAAGGTAAGGATAGTGGCACCACGTAAGAAGTCTCATGTTTGTTAACGGTGTGTGATGGTGCTTGTTGATGGTCTAGTGTTAGACCCTGCTTAGCCAGGACAGCAGTGGGCTCCGTTTGAGGGAATTTGGTCACCCCTCCTTAGCTCAGGCTTTGATGTGATGATTTATAGGACAGTGCATGGTGAGAGGGTCTGGGAATGGGATTCCAACAATGTGTTTGGATGCCCTTCCTCCCAGAAGGCTGTATCTAATACTAGGCACAAGCTCCCTAAACCCAAGTCCTAAGGCAGTTTTAAGCTAAAGGACAGAAAAACATCATTCCTGAGATACAGACGGGCAGTTCTTCCAGACCAGTGTAATTTAGCCTAAGTCCTTACAGTTATCCTCCACTGTCACTGGTGAAAACTTGCTCTTCCTTTCCAGGAACTTACACAAAATACTGTAAGTGCAAAACAAGATTAAAAATAGAGTAATCGTTGTTGAACACTAGGGGTTCAGCCTAGATTCTAGTTGTTTGCCTCACAGAAAGCCCATTGACACAATGAGTATTGTCAGGGAAGGCAGACTTTATTGCAGGTAACAACAACAGCCAAGAGACAGGAGATGGAAGACAAGCCTCACATCCATCTCTCCAACTGACTAAAGTTAGGGGTTTATAGAGGAGCTTGTCAACACGCAGCAGGCAGTCAGATCAGGGGTCTGATGCCTCATTGTCCAGATGTGGTGATCTGGAAAGTTCAGTTCCTTGATACTATCTGAGAGGAAATTAGGCCACTTTCGTAAGGACACTAAAAGAAACCACAAATGATAATAATGATAGCTAATATTTATAGAGCAGCTACTCTGTGCCAGGCTCTGGGTATTTTCATTGTCATTTTACCAATGAGGGGAATGAAACTCAGAAGTCATCTAACTTACCCACAAGCCAGGCGCGGTGGCTCATGCCTGTAATCCCAGCACTTTGGGAGGCCAAGGTGGGCGGACCACCTGAGGTCAGGAGTTTGAGACCAGCCTGGCCAACATGGTGAAACCCCATCTCTACCAAAATACAAAGATTAGCTGGGCGTGGTGGCGTACACCTGTAATCCCAGCTACTGCAGAGGTTGAGGCGTGAGAATTACTTGAACCCAGGAGGTGGAGGTTCCAGTGAGCTGAGATCGCACTACTGGGCTCCAGCCTGGGCGATAGAGGAAGATCTTGTCTCAAAAAAAAAAAAAAAAAAAAAGTCATCTGACTTGCCCACAGTCACACAGCTGGCAAGAGGGTGGGGGTAGCGCCCAGTCCCTCTGACCCTGCAGTCTTCACTATTGCACTTACCACCTTCTCTAAAGATAGTGATGGCTTGTGCCTCAGGGTATGCTCATTTGTTTTTCAGGCATGAACAGTGCATTCGCAATGGTTGTAAATTCCCTATACTAGTTTACGCCACTCATATTCAACAGAAAGCATACTTTTAACTACCAATGGCTGTGTACTGACAAGGTTCTTTGCTTAACAAAATTTCAGACTCCTAAGCCTTCTCCTAATATCAGCTGTACACTTCCTTGTAAAATCCAGTTTTAGTAAGAACCCTGCTAAGTCAGTTTATCAAGAATCCTTCATCCTTCATCTCACCTTCATTATCCAGTTTCTCATCCTCTACCTTTCCCCAGGTGACAGCTGATCACCCTGGCCTGTCTTCAGTAGGAGTTCTGTCAGATTGGTTTAGCCAGAATCCCCCTTACTCCTGATATTTTCTGCTAGTAACTTTCTATCTGCTGATAGTCCCATCTCCAATCTGTGGCTACAAATTCCCACTTGCCCATGCCGTATTCAGAGTGGAGCCCCGTGTCTCCGCCACCAAGTGCAAAATCCCAGAGCAGTGGTCCCTGTATCTACTGCAATGGTTCTGAACCACTTTACTGTGCTTTCATAAGCATCATTATCCCTGAATATTTTTTTTTCTTTTAACAACATTCAGGATCACAAGCTTTTACAGGCCAGTTGCCTTGATGTAGACTTGACTAGCTTCTGTTTCTGCATTCAGAATGCCAGATAACTCATGCAGTTACCCTAATATGCCATAATACAACATGGAGAACACATACAATAAATATTTTATACCCCAGCAATTCCATGGCACTGGTATTATTTCTACTTTTTTTTTTTTTTTTTTTTTTTTTAGGCAGGGTCACACTCTGTCATCCAGACTGGAGTGCAGTGGTGTGATCTTGACTCACTTCAGCCTTGAGCTCTAATTCTTGGGCTCCAGCGGTCCTCCTGCCTCAGCCTCCTGAGTAGCTAGAACTACAGGAATATGCCACCATGGCTGACTAATTTTTAAAAAAAAATTTAGTAGAGATGGCGTCTTGCTATGTTGCCCAGGTTGGTCTTGAACTCCTGGCCTCAAGCAATCCTCTCCCCTTGGCCTCCCAAAGTGCTGGGACTACAGTTGCTCACTTTACCCTAATTTATACCAAACAGAAATTGACATGTCTGGAGGTTCAGAATCCTAAGTTGTAAAGAAATGGATTCATCTTTACATGAACTTAGTGGAAGTAGAATTTAATTCTCTGTAAGATTAGTTTCCCTTTTGCTATTTTATTTCTTCATTCACTTCCATCTAGTTTCTGGACGTACATGGTCAAGTGATGTTACTTTAGGTAATATTTCTAGAACTTTCCCTAATTTTAAAATTAAGAAAGAAAAAAGTTTTCCCTTCACTTTATGATATGCCCTTCAAGGCTGAAGACTCAGAAATGTGCTCCAGAGAATTTGTACCTCCTCTTTCACCCAGTTCAGCCCCTTTGTCCCCTCCCCCTGCTTCACTGTTGAATTCCTTTAATCTTCTTTACCTTAAAGGTCCATAAAAATCCCAACCGCCTTCACTAGAAAAATTTGGTGCTGTATGAGAACCTAAGTTTCTCTAATAAAAATCAGCAACATTTTTTTCAAATCCAGCTTTCCCGAAATTGTAGATCAAGCCCAGTAGTGTGATTCACAGATAACGGCTGAAGCCACTTCATCTCCAAGCTAAGGGATAAAATTAGCATGTTAAAGAGTTGGAGGGCTTAATTAGAAAGGCAATCCTTAGGCAAAAACCTCTCAGGAACACTAAAGCAGTTTGTTAATTTTGTTTGCTATCTCTTTGGGGGCAGAACCTGGAACCAGAAATTAACTCTGACTTTGAAAACCACAATAAAATTATATCATCCTCAGGCCCAACGTTAAAGGAAGTGTGCTCATAATAAATGGATAATCTTCTACTTTCCATGACTATTGATTTTAATCATCCCAACATTCCGTGAGAAGCAGTCTGTTTCTATGTGCTTTCCTCCTGTTTTCTCCCATTGTGTTGAGTATGGGGTTTGGACTCTCCAGTTCAACCATCCTGGATGGAGAGGCTGCTTCATTTTGGGAATAGCTTATCCCTACCCACTGTGTCACTTACTAGATCAGAGGCAAAGAGGCTCATTCTTCTGAATGTTTTTGTTTCTTCTGGCATTCACCTCCATATTTTTAAATAACAAGCCTTAAAATACCATTATATCTGGATTTTTCCAATTATATCACTTTCTACTGCCTTCCTACTATAGTGTAGGGTTTAGATCTCTTACCTTATTCCTGCATACATATTGCCTCTCTCCACATCACACCACTATTGAGGCAGGAGAAAAGGTCTGGAGGCAGGGAAGCTAAGGCCGATTCGCACTGGCTTCCTAGAACGAAATCAAAAGGAAAACCCCTACTTTCCACACCCAAGTAACACAAGGATCAGAAGCTACTCCCTTTTCAACCCCCTCCCCCATTTTTTTTGCATGGCAGATGAGAAATTGAAAGTATCTCTCATTTGTCCCCTCCCTCAGTCAGTCAGGCTGCTCCTGGGCCAAGTCTTCATTTGCATAGGAGTATAACTGTATAACTTGACTTTAGCTTCTGATTGGTCACCTTCCACAACCAATCAGATGTTTGCATAGGGTATAACTTTGTACCTTTGCTTCAGCCTCTGACTGATCCCCTCCTGCAACCAATCAGACTGATTGTGGACCACTACTTTATTTACATAGAGTGTAAAGCAAGTGACCAATCAGAAACCTCTAGAGGGTTTTTAAACCCCAGAAAATCTGTAATCAGGCTCCTTAAGCCCCTATGCTTGGCCCACTCCCACCTGGTGGTGTGTACTTTCATTTTTGATAAATCTCTACTTTTGTTGCTTCATTCTTTCCTTGCTTTGTTTGTGCTTTTTGTCCAATTCTTTGTTCAAGTTGCCAAGAACCTGGACAGCCTCCACTGGTAACACTATAATTATGACAGTTTTTGCTTAAATTAATAATTGATGTTTACATTTTTACAATTATATAAATATTCACAGTTCAATGCAGTAGTGTTCTGTGTAAATACTTTGTGCTTTTCTTTTTGCTTTCCTTACTTATTGAATAAATAAATACTTGAGCACCAGCCTCTAGTGTAGCCACTCTTCTGGGTACTGGATATATAAGAGAAAAGATAAAAAAAAATCCTGCCCTAAGGGGTTTACATTTTATTGGGGTGGCAGCAGAACAAGTGTCTAAGAACAGATAATCTGAAACCATGTTTGAGTTAAAACACTGGTTTTTGCAAAGTTAGCAACTCACTGACCTTAGGAATTTGCCCAGCCTCTCCATGCCTCAGTTTCTTCATCTGTAAGTTGGGCGTAAAATCTATTTACAGAGTTGTAACAAAGATTAAGTGAATCAATATAAGTCTAGGCAGGTCAAAGATACAGATAGCAATTTTCAAAGTGTATACTAGGATACTATCGGGAAGTAAACTTAACTATACAGGCAACAGGAAAGGCAAATTTAGAGACTGTGATTTTTAAATAACATATTGAGAAAATAATATTTTTTCCTATCTGATTCACTTATTGTCTAGCATTTGTGTATCTTTTAAGATATTAATTTTGAAGGAAGTTTATTCAACTTCTTGCATTTTCATTGTTTCCCATTAATTCATTTGTCATCTTACTTTGAGTTTCTATCTTTAATGATAATGACTTTCTTTTCATGTCTGGTAATACATTTATTCATATATAAAAATTGGACACTAAAATTGATCAAAAATCTCTGTTTACATGGGTTTTTGATTGTTCATATGTTGATATTTCTGTTGTAGACTCTTTAATGTCACTGTTCATAAGCCTTTTTTGTGAGGGGTGGAGGTTGTGTATTTCCCCAGAGAGAAAGACTCCCATTTCCTCTGTTTGGGGAGGGATGTACCTCAGTTCAGAGCGTTTGTGGTTCAACCTGTCTGGATAGAAAACACCCAGCCTTCTGCTCAAACAGGAGAGGGGTGGTCACTCAACTCATGGCAAAAGCTAGAAGTCCCTGATGTCTGTCTCAGAGGACTTGCTAGTTAATAAACTTCTGCCCTATACTGCTAGGGTCAATTTACAATTGGGAAATAATTAATTTTGTGACTATCCAAGGGTAGAATGCTATCTAATTTCTTAGAATGTTTCCATTATTTTGGCCAATCAGACTGAGCGTTTTCTGAAAATACGCTATAGTTCATCCAACTTTCTATTGCTTTGTCTTATCATATACAGTGTATGGTGTTGATGCTAAGAGGCATTACTATAAAGCTGAATAAAATAAGCCCTCTCTCTTCTCAGCAATCATAGTGTTGTTAAATTTATTAGTTTGGGCTCTGGCATATTCCTCAAAGTAGAGTTAGGAATTGTAGAGATGAAAGTCAGTTTATCAAGACAGGATCCTATGTTTTCCCAACACCCTCTCCCACATGGGCCACTTCCTCTCCCTAAGCTCCCATGACTTCAATTTTGCTCCCACTGGCATAGGCATTTGGTGGGGATCTGGAGGCCATTTAAACCCTAAAGTTCTGTCCACAAATGATACCCCAGAATCAAACCTTTTCTGCTTATTCTTCTTGCGCAAAGTGCACGCCAACAATATCCATGTTTTTCCTATTTTTTTTCCATTAAGTGCAATGCAACCTTTCTTCATTGTAAAGAATCACTAGAATCCAGCTCTCAGGCTCCCTCTGCATTTTTTCGTACGACTCAAGAACAATTACGTTCTTGCTAATAAGATATATCTCTTTAAACTCCCTAGAGAAAAATGACAATATACATTTAAATTATAAACTTGGACAATATAATAGACTTTCTACTGTTAGTATTATACAGTTATAATCTAACTTTAACAGCAGTTAAGCAGAGACATTTTACGAATTGCATGATATTTGAGTGTTGGGTGTGAATGAGTTGGATTCTTGACCTTTTGCTGGTGGGAACTTTCTTATCTCTTTTTGTTTTCCCAGGACTAATCTGTGCAGTGTAGCAGCACTTCCTTTGTACCAAAGTAGTTATCTTCCTGCGGTATCTCCGATCAATTCTATAATCTGTAGGCATCATGTGCCACTGTGTCACAGGGTGACAAAAGCCCTCAGAGCACAGGAGGACCAGACTATTGTCGTCACTGAACCCACCAGGTTAAAAAGGGGAAGATGGGAGGCAAAAATAACACTAAATAACTGGTTATAAAAACACCTTAAAATTGTTTTTACAGTTGAGTGATTGTACTACTTATTTGATGCATCTGAAATTGTTGATTAAACACAGAGATGCACATAAACTGAGACGATAGAAATTAGAGAAGTTTAATTACAGTAAATTAAGAAAAAACACTGAAGCAGAGACAACAGATGGTCAAAGAAGAAAGTGATAATTCAAAACTATCAGGAACATTAGAGGAAAACTAAGAAGTGAAGCAAGTTCGCACAGACACAAAACAATTTCTTCTATTTCTTTCACTGTTGTATTTTTTCTTGCCATCCTTAAGATTTGTCAGGAATGTCTTTGTGTCTCCACCTTTGTTTTTCTTTGGGGTGTGTGTGTGGTTCTTTTCTGTAATCCTCCCTTATTTTCTTTCATGATTTGATCCTAGTTGGATAATACGCCCCGATTTAAGAATATTTTATTTTAAGTGTTTCTCAGTTATTCTCATAGGATTTCAAGAATTTCAAATATTAATAGCATTGCTAATTAATAGTTTAAAATCATTTCTCAAATATAACATTTAGCATTTTTATGACAAAATTAGCATGTATTCATTCAACAAATAAATTATAATAGTTTGATGGCAAATATCAGTATGTACCAGCTATTGGGCTGCAGAATATGTTTTCATGCTGTATACAAAATTAAGTTGTTTTAGGTTTATTGAAAAATATTTTATGGGGTAGTATTTATAGATTTTTTATGAGGACTATAATCCCGAATATAATTTTATTTCATCCACATTTTTTCTTTGTTCATAAGAGATCATTTATTTTTACAGGAAATGTGACAATTAGAACCTATTGCTGAACCTAAAAAAATGACAATTTTCTTTTACGATGAATATTAATAGCATAAACGAGTTTACACTTGACCTCAAAGCAATTCTGTTTTATGGAAGTTGGACTTAGGAAACTTGAAAGGCTTCTTACTCTGCTGTTTAACACATGGAAATGATAATCATGTTAGCTACACCCTAGTAATTTTAGCTGAAAATATTCCCACCCTATTCTGGAGATAAAATAAATTTGATTTAACATCGGGTTCAACCATTCTTTCACAGTTGTGCTTTATTATTAGTGACAGAACTTTATCCTTAAAAAGCTTCAGGGGTCTTCTATCAGCAGAACAATTTATAACTAGCTATTTAGGGAAATAATGCTGCTTTTGTGTACTATTTTTTATAGTTTGCTTTACTCACCATTTGTTTGCAAAAATACAACTTCTACAATTGGGTTATATTTCTTATGATAGAAAGTATGTTTCAAGTGATCAGCATATGATATAAAAAGATGAAACCTCATTGATTTTTTTTTTTCAAAACCTTTGGATGCTTCACTTAGTATAATTATGACTCAGGGTGGTGGTAAAAATTGGGATAAAAGGATAAGTTTGTAAGAAACTAGCTTTTTTATATTTAACAAAAGCTGGCTTTGATAATAGCATATTTGCAGTTCATAAAAGATCAAACTTTTAAGGAACAAAAAGCAAATAACAATAAAACCTTCTTAAGTCAACAAAATGTTTTGTAAAGGGCATTTCATTTTCAGCTTGGCCTTACCGCTGAGAAGCATTTTGCATGAAATTTGTGCATGAATTCTCATTCCAAGAATATAAGAGGAAATAAATGAGCAAAACAGAAATGTATTAGTGAAGCAATTTATGGCATGTTGAAAAAATAAGCATCTAGTATACACGCATGTTGAAACTTGATCAAACCCTGTTTTAACAACACTATAAAAACTGTTTTCTTATTTGAAACAAAACACAATGCATAAATGAAAGATTATGGTGACTTAGAATTATTGTTTAAAGAAAAACCTGAACTCTAAAAGAACTTTCTGCACTATTAAAGAAAAGCTAATACAAAAGTAAACTGAATGTACTAGTCAGGCCATCAGAATAGCAATAACATTGGTAATGTTATTGTTGAACCAACCTCTCTCTTCTCCTTAGAACAACGGAGAATAATAAATGAAGCCTTAGGTAATTCTATTGTGGCGGAACAGGAAGTTTTCTTGTCAATTCTTCAAAGTTGTATCAAAACTAGATAAGATTTAAAGCTTCAGGAAACTTTTGGATTTGTAACTCTCAACTGTATTCTGTAGTTAGTAATTGTACAAACGAGAATTAACACAGCAGGCCTGAGACTGCTGTCCTCAGAAACAGGCCTGCCTGCAAGGCTGGCCCTTGCCTGTCTTCTGTTAACGGATTTCAATAGGGTCCACCATTCCCAAAGCTGATAAGAGTGGCTCACTCACCAAAACTACTTGTACAAACATTGTGGTTTATGCTGAACATCTGCTTTTTTGTTTTTCATTTTCAGATAGTCTGGAATTTGGGTATGTACTAGGCAGAGGGTGTCTAAATGACAGTTCCACAACCACAACCTTGACTCATAGGCTTAGGCAAGCTTCCCTTGTAGATAATATTTCACACATGTTGTCCAAATTCGAGTGCTGGAGGAATTAGCACATCCTTTGTGGCTCTCCCAGAAGAGGACTCTTAGAAGCTTGTGCCTGGTTTCTTACAGACTTTGCCTCATGTACCTTTTCTCTTTACTGATTTTTACTTTTTAGGTTTGTTGCAGTAATATATCATCACTATGAGTACAGCTGTATACTGAGTCCTATAGTCCTAGCAAATCACCAAGCCTGGAGGCAGTCTTGGGACCCATGGCACAGCACTATCCTTAGAAGCTAGTTTTGTCAGTTTCACTTTCCATCTTCTATACCTTTGCTGACATGGTTTCCTAGCCCCATACCACCTGTTGCCCCATAGCCTATTGAGTAACTTTTCAGTGCTTGGCCAGGATGAAACCTTGCTCAAGATGATCCCTGATTTCCTTATTGTTCCTGGCTGGAAATGGCTCTGGAATATCTTGACTTTGATTATCTGAATTATTCAGTTTGATTAATTTATGGCATTAATCGACCTTATATTATAGTTGTGTATGCACATCACCTCTTCTATTTCATTTTAAGCTATTTGAATGTGTAGAATTGTTTTATTGTTTTTGTGCCACCCAGAGCTGCTTGGTTTCTGAATGGCTTATGCCTTTGAGTTCAGTGAAAGTGCATATACCACATTAAGTGGTTTTTGATAAGAATGCCATTAAAATAGATGTGACTTTGTAATTTCCGTCTGACCTCAGGAGCTATACAAAAACTTAGAATATCTGAGGGGAAGTGTTGAAAATATAGCAGTTGAATTTTAAGCAATTTAGTCTTTTATAAATGATTAATGCAGTCCAATAATTGTGATTAATTGACCTGAAATAACATACATGAGCTTTTGCCAGCTTTCTGGATACATATAAAAGGGAGCAAAGCTTACTCCAGAGAATCGAATTATTTTTCAAATATATATGCATGAATTTGTACATGCATCATAATATGAACTCAAGTTAGAGTTCTAAAGCCAATCTTAAATTCTTCCAAAAAAAAAATGCCCTTTATAAACTTTTTCAAAGGCCCAGTTTTATGTCTTTTTTTTCTTTATTTCTTTGAAAATTCCTCCACTCTAACTGGTAACTATGAGGCATTAGCTGAACGTCAAGATCCTGAATAAAATTCCAAAAATAAAGAAAACATGGAGAACCATCAGTTCCTGATATGGTTTGGCTCTGTGTCCCCACCTAAATCTTATCTTGAATTCTAAACCCCACTTGTCAGAGGAGAGGCCTAGTGGGAGGTGATTGGATCATGGAGGTGGATTTCCCCTTGCTGTTATCAGGAAAATGAGTTCTCACAAGATCTGATGGCTTAAGAGTGTGGCACTTCCCCTCTTGCTCTCTCTCTCCTGCCACAAAGTAATATGTGCCTTGCTTCCCCTTTGCCTTCCACCATGATTGTAAGTTTCATGAGTCCACCCCAGCCATGCAGAACTGTGAGTCAATTAAATCACTTTTCTTTATACATTACCCAGTCTCGGGGAGTTTATAGCAGTGTGAAAACACACTAATACATTCCAGTTCATTTTTATTTAAACTTTGACAGAATTGTCAAGGGAGTATATAAGAGAACAACAATCGTGTGTCTGGATATATATCCTTTCTCCATGTTAACATTTTCAGAGATTCTTCTTTATATGGTTATTTGCTCAATTAGTTATACACCTACAACTTTAATACTACAACTTTTGAGTAATTATGGCAGACTAGTCAGACATAATTTATCTTCTTCTAACTCCTGAAAAGCACACAAAAATGGTACACAGTTGACCAAGAAGTAAAATGAAAAACACAATGGGAACAGAGCATATGAGAGACTCAGAGTAGTGACTGAGAAACAAGCAGAACTTTTTTTTTTCTTTTTTTCTTTTTTTTTTTGAGGTGGAGTTTCACTCACTGATCTCGGTCACTGCCACCTCTGCCTCCTGGGTTCAAGCGATTCTCCTTCCCCAGTCTCCCGAGCAGCTGGGATTACAGGCGCTGGCCATCACACCCAGCTGATTTTTTGCATTTTTAGTAGAGATGGGTTTTCACTATGTTGGCCAGGCTGGTCTCAAACTTGTGATCTCAGGCGATCCATCTGCCTCAGCCTCCCAAAGTCCTGCGATTGCAGGCGTGAGCCACCGTACCTGGCTGCAACAAGCAGAACTTTAATAGAAGTAACCCGTATGCTCAACTAGAAGACCCCAGAAAGTCCCTGAACTGGGGCCAGTTACCTTGGAAACCTACAAGCAATAGAAACTGTTGAAAGTCAGTACACTGAGACATTAAAATCCAGGTCTCCTCCTCAGCCTTGAGTAAACAGGCAAATACTTTCCTTGTCTTCCTTCTGCCCCTTTCTGAAACAGAGGAGGAATCTTGTGTCTGTGTGAAAACATTGAATAGTAAAGTCTCTGGACACGGAAATACCAAAGTGGAGGGTGAAAGTAAATCTACCACTTGGTAGAGTGATTTAATGTCTACAGATTGAACATTGCTTTCCAGGCCCCTTTCTTTGCTTTGCTTACCAGTGACCTGCAGCCAGCCATTGAAAAACGCAAACAAAAAAACAGCCACCCAATGTGGCCATAGGATTAGGTGAATATTCCCCAGATAATCTAGAGGGCCCCAAAGAATAGTTCTCCAGAAAGTGACATGGTATTTCGCAGAAGGAAACATTGCCTAACTCAGTGTCCCCTTCAGTAAAGCTGTCAGTCTACAAGTTCCTGTCTCGTCAAGGGTGTGTCATTATCTATTATGGTCTCCTTTCTTAAATGTAAACAGAGCCAAAGATCACCAGGAATCTGAGGAAAGCTATCATGTGAAAGACAGTTATCAAAAGAGACAGAAAAACGAAACTTGGTAATAACCAATATAATAAAGTAGAAGAAAATGCCAAAGCAAAAATGAAAACAAATACTAGAGGTAATATAGTTCACCCTTGAACTATATTGGTGCCCCCAACCCCAACACAGTAAAAAAAATTCATGTATAACTTAATTTTTTTCTTAATTTTTAATGCTTGTGGCTAATAATTGTATATACTTATGAGGGGCATGTGATGTTTTCACACAGTGGTACAATAGGTAATAAATAAGGTATAATTTTTGACTTCCACAGAACTTAACTACTGATAGCCTACTGTTGAGCAGAAGCCTTACCAATACCATAAATTTGATTAACACATTTTGTGTGTCATATGTATTATGTATTGTATACTTCCAATAAACTAAGCTAGAGAAAATATATTATTTAAAAGTCATAAGAGAAAAATGTATTTACTTTTCATAAAGTGGATCGTCATAAAGATCTTCATCCTTGTCTTCACGTTGAGTAGGCTGAGGAGGAGGAGGAAGAAGATGGATTGGTCTTCCTGTTTTAGGAGTGGCAGAGGCATAAGAGATGGAGAAGATGGAAGGCGAAGAAGGAGAGGCAGGCACACTTGGTGTAACTTTTGTTGAAAAAAAAATCTCGGTATCAATGAACCCGTGTTGTTCACGAGCCAGCTATACAGTTGATTTCTCCAAAGAGTTGAATGAAACCAATACTTATATAAAACAAAAATATAAATAAAAAGAAATAAAAGTAAAATTATTGTAATATTTTGAAATACCACAAATGCAATGGGAGACTAAGGTAAAGTCACATAAACATTTATAAAAAATGTAGATCTTTGAGGATACATTCAAGAGGTCCTTTACACATTTAATAGTCTTAAGAATTTTAATAAAATTAAGAAAAAAAGTTACACGAATTATCTAGGAAATACTAAACATATCCCAAAAGTAAAGTATGTGAGAATTTGGTTTCAAGTGCTTTTCATATGTCCACTCAGTAGAGAAATAACTTCAAAAATCCTAAGGAAGATGATCTTGAATTAGAAATCTATACCCATTTAATTTATCTATTAAAGATGGAATAAGATAAAGACATGTCAGAGATAAAAAGCATCACATTTTCTTTTAATTATCATTTCTTAGGAACTGACTAGAGACTATGCATACATACACACACACAAACACACACAGAACTAAAAGAAAAGAAAGAACTTGGGAATTCATCACTGGAAAATAACCAAGCATGGTCCCAGGATAATGTTAACTCCAAGGGAGGTAACCAGGGAAGGTAACAAAGGTTTAGCTTTGTATTTAATGACCATTTTGATGATATTGATAGGTTTGGAAGTTTTTTAATACATTTGGAAAAAATAATGATTATATATATCACAAGAATGATATAAATTTTAAAACAAGTTCAAAATCAATAGCAAAACACAAATTTGCACAAGAAAGAAAAAGTGATAGACTATATGGCTCAGCAGTGAGCAGTATGTACATAGTTGTGAAAATGTAAACTTTGACCACTGACTTAATTTAAAAATTATAATAACCCTACATTAGGCTCTGAGGAAAGGGGAAGTGTTAAAGATGTTAAGTGGGGAAGTGAGGTACAAAGTGTGTGGCTGGAATTTCTTTTTTAAAAATCATAGGTCATTATTTGATTCATTGAACTAACTATATGAAATACTCATAATAATTTTAAAATTGAAATACTGTATTGATGAGAAAAGGTAAAGTGTTACTTTATCTTATTTTTAATCTGTCATAGAAAAGTATACTGATATATTTTTAACTGGGTTAATTGAGAGATGGAACAAAAATATTAGTCTCTTACAAAAATTATTTTGGATTTATGTTGCCAATATCTATACTTAATATTCCTAATAAAATCTTGATTGTAAATAAAGCATATATTTTTAGGTTGAGCTTCTGAGAAAGGAAAGCTGAAATGAAGGTTATTGTTCCAGAAATTTTTGCATTATGATGAAATCAATGTGGACTATTCTAAATAATTTCAGAGAATGTTGTTTATAGCTTTCTTGTCATGTCAGCCTGCTTTGAGCTGCCTGGCCATAATGTCAGCCTCTTGTGTATAATTCAGCCGAAACCACATTTTATTATAATTTGGGGGCTTCCAAAAGTTGCTTTTTAATTTTTCAGAGATACAGAAAAGTTAATATATAATAAAATATTATGGCATAAATAGTAGAGATATTTCATATAACTATCTTCATGGCCTTAAAAACTCTTGTAGTTTCCAAAGGCAAGTTGGTGTAGGTGCCACTTGACACTTTTTAAAAAATAGTCTCTCTTACTCTTTTTCCCCTAAAGCATTTTAAAAACAAATTTATATTAAGATGGAATTTAATTATTAAAATCTAATTATTAGCTTTTGATATGCTAATACCTCTGAAGATAGAGCACTATAAATGAAAACAATTTTATTTCTAAACTAAACTGCGTTTTGAACTGATACATTTGTCTAAAAGAGAAAGAAAAAACAAAAGGTCATTGATCATCAGGTCCAGAGCAGATGTGGTCTTGTGTGAAATAACTAGACCAGGGAGGTAACAGCTTTGCAAGTCATATGCACTGGCTTAATATCTCCATTACTCTTATCTACAAAGCCAAAATTATAAAATATGTTCTCATATAAATTGACTTTTTACAATAAAATATAGCAACCTTAATAGTAAGTTGTATATCTTCAGTGTTGTGCTAGAACTACGATGCAATCTGTGATTTCTTTTAAAAGTTAAAGATAAAGGTAGTCATATTGTATGTAATACTGGTTACTACCAATTTGTTTTGAGGAGAATATCTGTGTAACGTACTATTAACAAATACAAATTTAAATAATCAACACTGAAATAATTTCAGGATAATTTTTATAAAATCTTCTCTTTTTGCTATCACCAAATCTACTTCTTGACAAATTTTAATACTGAGATTTCTGCAATCTGTGATAATCTTTTCCTTATTTTCTCTCAAAATTTCAAAATCAGAAGTAACTTAGACCCTGCGTTTATTAATAATCCACTAAGTCAATTAACTTTCCATAACTGTAGCAAACTCGAGATATAGCTTGATAATTAGTACAAATAATCAGAAATAGATTTAAAAATTTACATAAATATATACTGCCAATTATTCCTTTGAGAGCAGGGCCTGTTTTAATTACCCTGTTTTCTTAGGGCCTACCTGGTGCACTGATTGGCACATAGCAGATTCTCAAAATTACATTGATTCATAAAAATAAATGTAAAGGTAGGATTTTTCATAAAGTTAGAAATAAGAAAATTAATTACCATATAATTCATTAGGATATTCCATTTTCATAAATAAAATCTTCAATAAATAAATTGTCCTTAGAAAATACAGGATAAATGCAAAGGCAGCAAGGTGTCATGGAAGAGCAAAGCGCTTTGCAGTAAGATAGCCAAGGGTTGGGCTTTGCTCTTTCTGTGACTTTAGGTAAGTTAATCATCCTGTCAAATATCAGCTTCTTATGGGTAAATATGTGTGTATGTTGTAAGATTTTTCTGAGGCTACCAGGTAAGTCATGTAAAGGATTTAAAACAGATTCTCAGTATATGGTAGCTGCCACAGATGGGATTCTAGTCTGAATCAAACACAATTTGATATAATGTTTTGTCTTCCTTACAAGAGGTAAACTCAAGACAATCATCATGGAATAAAGCCATTTTCCCTTTTTCATGCTTCTCCACAGTGCATGTTATCTCTCTTTTGGCAAAGAAAATTCCAAGGGTGAGATAATCATTTATACGGCCATTCAGTGTTTTTTGCAGTGCTCCCAATTCAATATAGTCAACAAAATGCTAATTAGTCCTAATTGTTTGGAGGACACCTGTCAGTCCACTGATAGATGCAGAGACCCCTAAAGAATCCCTCAGAAATTCCTCTTGAGATGAATTTAACTCTATCATTAAGAAGTTAAAAGGTTTAGAATTAAAACTAGTCGTCATCTCCCATTTTAACTACCTGTTGAAATATACAGATCCAGATATACATATTCTTCTAGGCTTTGTCTGATTAAAAGAAAAAACAAAAACCAGAATGCAAAGTAGAAATTCCCAATGACAGCCAGGCAAGGTGGCTTACGCCTGTAATCCCAGCACTTTGGGAAGCTGAGGTGGGCAGATCACGAGATCAGGAGTTTGAGACCAGCCGGGCCAACATGGTGAAACCCCATCTCTACTAAAAATACAAAAATTAGCTGGGCGTGGTGATGGGCAGCTGTAATCCCAGCTGCTCGGGAGGCTGAGGCAGGAGAATCGCTTGAAACCGGAAGGTGGAGGTTGCAGTGAGCCGAGATCGCGCCACTGCATTCCAGTCTGGGCAGAAGAGCGAAACTCCATCTCAAAAAACAAAACAAAACAAAAACAAAAACATGGAAATTCCCTGTGACTAAAGTTGTGGCACCTATCTTGTTCTTGATGTAATAAAGAAATCTTAATGTTAGCACCTTATTATTATAAACTATTCTGATAGAATCTGATGTGGCAGGCAGTACTGGTTTACCTTTGATAACTTCCTAGTTAATTATAGAAATAAAAATAATAAAAATAAGAATCGTTTTTTCCATCCAGTCTACTCTATTTCAGCAGTATTATTGGCATGTCCATATTGTCCAATTTTACAGAAGCACAAAATCTGAAATTAGTCTGCGTGGTGGGGTGGGGGTGTGGGGGCGGCTGTTATTGGGATAATTAAGTTCTGTGCAATAAGTCAAATTACTATGTTTTAAATTTTAGTTTACAAACAGGCCACCAGGAATATTACAAGCGTATTTTCTTTTCTTCAAAAACCATATAGCATCTTTACATCCTTAAAGTTGAATAAAGGAATGTTAAATGTTTTCAACTAAGGCTGGCTAGGGTCAGTAATATTTCTCATGTCTGGCAGATCATCTGTTACCACTTACTAATGGATATGTATTGGTATACCAGACTCATATTACAGTTTTCTTAACAGAAATTGTTTTAAATTCTATGATATTCCTCTAAAAGAAAGTGTTGAACTGACTATAAAGTTAAATCAGAAGGATAGAGGCATCCCATGGATTTGTAGCCTGAAATAGAGTACTACTAAAAAGACTTTGGTGACTGTAAAAATATTTCTAAGGTAGAAGTTTTTCATGATTAGTGGATCTAATCTAAGCTTTCCCCCTATTAAACATACCGTAATTTGTGAGATATACCTTCTCTAATCTAAACATATCATGTTAAAACTATAATTGTAGCAGTTATCCAATCTTCCGCATTTTTTTTGACGATTCAAGCAAGAGTATTGAAGCAGTTTTCAAGAGAATCTTCAACTTGACCCAAAGAACTTCTTAGTGTATATGAATGGTGTTCTTTCAAAAATTACTTGAACAAAATCGAGCATTTCTATCATATGTGAATGTCGGCCACTCTTTGTAGCTGCCATGTAATCTTTTGGGCTATCTCCAGATTATTGCTTTATTGCCACTCTGGCTACAAAATGCTTTTACACTTGGTCATCAACTCGTTTCAAAGTAATAAAAGAACAATGCCTGTGGCACCACGTCAGAAAGAAATCTTTAAATGGTGAACCTGCCTTATAGCAACAAATTTAATTATGAAATTGAATGTATAGGAAGAGATGAAAATTGTTGCTGTCACCAAGTACATGATTCTACTGTATAAAACAAAGTTTGTAGCAATTAAAAGGTTTTGCCATTTTCCTGCAGTTTTCAGCATTTCACACTTTAAGAGTAAGCATTTGAAATATCTGTGTATTGAGACTTAACAATGCAAACACTAGGTCATCGGATGGGGCTGACTTGATAATTTGCAGGCTGGCAGAAAATCTGGATAATATTTTAAAATAGGAACAAATAAGCTGTTGGGGAGAAGAATATATTCTCTTTCTACCTCCTTAGGATCTTTGGCTGGGTCTAAGAATTAAGTTGACATAAGACAGAATAAAAGGAAAAATCATACAATATGTATCTGATGTGGTGCTATATGCATTATTCTTTCATTACCATTATGTTTGTTAATTTTTTTTATGCTGGATGTTACTTTTTATTTATTTATTTTTATTATACTTTAAGTTTTAGGGTACATGTGCACAACGTGCAGATGAGTTACATATGTATACATGTGCCGTGTTGGTGTGCTGTACCCATTAACTCGTCATTTAACATTAGGTATATCTCCAAATGCTATCCCTCCCCACTCCCCCCACCCCACAACAGTCCCCGGTGTGTGATGTTCCCCTTCCTGTGTCCATGTGTTCTCATTGTTCAATTCCCACCTATGAGTGAGAACATCTGGTGTTTGGTTTTTTGTCCTTGCGATAGTTTGCTGAGAATGATGGTTTCCAGCTTCATCTATGTCCCTACAAAGGACATGAACTCGTCATTTTTTATGGCTGCATAGTATTCCATGGTGTATATGTGCCACATTTTCTTAATCCAGTCTATCATTGTTGGACATCTGGGTTGGTTCCAAGTCTTTGCTATTGTGAATAGTGCTGCAATAAACATACATGTGCATGTGTCTTTATAGCAGCATGATTTATAATCCTTTGGGTATATACCCAGTAATGAGATTGCTGGGACAAATGGTGTTTCTAGTTCTAGATCCCTGAGGAATCAGCACACTGACTTCCACAATGGTTGAACTAGTTTACAGTCCCACCAACAGTGTAAAAGTGTTCCTCTTTCTCCACATCCTCTCCAGCACCTGTTGTTTCCTGACTTTTTAATGATTGCCATTCTAACTGGTGTGAGATGGTATCTCATTGTGGTTTTGATTTGCATTTCTCTGATGGCCAGTGATGATGGGCATTTTTTAATGTGTCTTTTGGTAATTTTTACATGTGCATAGGGAGCCTCACAAGAGAGTGAGGACTAATGAAATGGTCAAAGCAGAAAGCTTTTATATCTTTTAGAGAGAGACACCAACAATTCTTGAATAAATGAAAGACAAAAGGGTTTGGGCTGGGGGGCAATACATTGTGGGGATGTCACTAGGAGATATATGGCGGTGGTGGGGGGGTGCATTGTAAAACTAGTAGAAGATAAGGGTTACTTTATTAATTGTATGGATCCATTGCAGCATCAATTCCCTGTCTCTGGTGATAAGGGTTATTTATTTTCTTCTTTGAGAAAGGAATAGCACTTTTCTCAAAAGAATTCTTACGGCCTGGTGCAGGTGGAAGAGGAGGGGTCAAACAGCTCTTTCTATATCCACTGTCTCTCAAATACCTTCAGCCTGAAGTAATTGATATGCCAAATTTGCATATTTGGGGATGGCATGGCCTTAACTTTATCCATACAAAAGGATTATATCAACAATTTGGGGCCATACAATCAGGTAGAAAGATACAAATAAATCCATGAAAATCAAGAAGCAAAGGCAGGGGTATATGAAAAAGTTTTAGGTCCCTAAGAAAATCTTAAAATGTGTTTTATAAATTTAAAGTATGAAGTCAACCAATTGACATGAACTCAATCAAAAAAATTGGGGACTAGAAGAGATGTTGAAATTACTTTTTACCCTCGGCTTTATATACTTAATAAAGGTTATTATTTTACTTACTCCAGGATCTCTATTTCTGCTACAGTTTTTTAATCAAAAATTGTTGCCTTTTATTACATAATTAAAATAAATTGAGAAGATTCTACTTCTTGTTCTACCAGAGCACCCGTGGATTGACTGAGGGCCACTGTTGACTCACTAATACTGTATTTATTGAAATAGACTCCTGATCATTAGAACTATTTTTGTCACCCGTAATTTTCAATTATTTAAATATTAAATACAATTTTGTTTAAGTTGTTGTTCATGAGAAAATTGCATATTTATAAGGATGTTTTCCTCAATTTTCATACCCATATTCCACACATTTATTTCACCCTTTTCTACTCATTCTTTCTACAGTTTTTAGCTAAGTTGGATTTCGTAAATTTAAGTAGGATGGTGTTCGATTTAGAGAAGTGGCCCAAATCTTTATTTTTCTGTCAAATATATGATTGGCTGATTAACTTCACAAATGGAGAGAAACGTCTTAAATGATTAGGAATGATAAGTTTATTAGCAGTCCTGATTCAAGTCTCCAACTCAAACTCAATAGATGATGTCCTTTAATTACTACCAGGGACCTTTTTCATGTTGCTGCTGATCACAGTTTATTGTTGCTTTTATGGCTTTATTAAAAATACTTTTTCCCTTGTAGTTATCTTCTCAAAGTCCCCCTCTCACTTTTATTCTTACTATTATTGACATAAGAGTAATAGCCACTGTATTTTTAGTTGTGCTTGAAACTTAAGATGTTGTTGGCACTGGTGTAAAAAAAAAGCTTTTTCCTTTGAAACATTTACTGTTTATAAAATATTAAGCTAGGCTACCTTTTTCCTGATGACTCAGGTAGAATAGCATTCTTTCCTTTACTATAAGAGAAGTCTGATCCTTGTATGACCTCTTAAGAAATAAGGTAATATTTATTTTAGTTCTGTATTATAACAAGCACCAATTTAATAGAATCTTCTTCAAATTTACTTGAAAATGGGTTTCATTTTCAGAACAGAATATTTAATGAATATTTCTTACTAAGACTGCATGTCTGTGTACTATTGTTTTAAATATAATTTGGGTAATATTACTTAGTTTGTTATTTGAAAAAATCATAGACTCTCCATGATGAAACTTGTACCTACAAATTTAGTCTAAAATTGTATGAGAGGACATTTTAAAGAAGTGTTTTATGCTAATGCAATATCATATCATAGCAAATGATGTAAATCTAACTAACCTATATAGTAACTTAATTTTTATACCTTCTGTTTATGAAATACAATATTATGAAGAGGGTGGTATAGATCCCAGTAGAAAAAATAGAAGAATATATGTGTTGGAAAGGTGAAATTGTGGAACTGTAACTGAACTTCCCTCACTTTTTTTCATATATGTTTTAATATTATACTTTAAACAACTATTTAGTATTATTTCAATATGAATGTCTAAGGTAATTTCATGGATGCTTAATTTTAATTGTTCTATTTTACCTTTCAACATTCTTTGAGAACTAGACACTTTATATTAATAAGTTTCAATTCAGTGCATATCATCACGAATTAATAAAATACAGATGTGTATCATGTTGATTTAACTTAGTGACCTCAAGTGTTTATAATAAAATTAGCACAAAGGTCTTTGAGACAAAGTCAAGTTCTCTGGAATTGTTCACAGGGTTCTATATATTTATCAGCATTTTTTTTTTGTTTTGATTACCTCTGCAATCATTGTCTTTGCCTCCATTCTTTCTCAAATCATTGACCTTGCACTGTTTGGTTGTCATCTTATGCATAATGTTATATAATTAGAGTGATATAAATCACTTTCTTTAGTTAATGTCAGATGTTAATACATTTCCTTTTCTCTGGTTGCATATCACAATATTAATGAAAACACCCCACAACTAATGCCCTGAGGTATTAACCTTAGGGAACTGACATCATGTTCTGAAAACTCTCTTGAGCTTTTGCATGAGCTCAGATGTCATTGCAAATCACTTTAGCTTTTGCTTTATTGTCTTTTGCTAATAATAACAATTGTACAAAAATAAAAGGTCTTGTGTTTTATTATTATGATTATTGTTTTTTGAGATGGAGTCTCACTCTGTTGCCAGGCTGGAGTGCAGTGGCGTAATCTCAGCTCACTGCAACCTCCGCCTCCCAAGTTCAAGTGATCCTCTTGCCTCAACCTCCTGAGTAGCTGGGACTACAGGCACGCACCACCAAGCATAGTTAATTTTTGTATTTTTAGTAAGGATGGGGTTTCACCATGTTGGCCAGGATGGTCTTGATCCCTTGACCTCATGATCTGCCTGCCTTAGCCTCCCAAAATGCTGGGATTACAGGTGTGAGCCACCACACCCTGACAGTCTTGTGTTTTTAAATTTTCCACATTAGCATTAATAGAAAAATCATGATCATATAATTATTTTTTCCAAGTATGTGTATATTTGACATACTTGTATTTCTTGTGTAGGTGTTTTAAAACATCATTAATTTTTTATGGCATCTTTGTCGAGATAGAGTTCACAAACTATAGAATGTATTCACTTTAAGTGTACAATTCAGTGCTTTCTTAGTTTATTCACAATGTTGCACAAACACTACCACAATAAATTTTAGAACATTTTCATCACCCCATAAAGAAACAACTTGCCCATTAACAGTATCTCTCCACCTCATTCCCAGTACTAGGCAACCACTAATCTACTTTCTGTCTTAATAGATCTGCCTATTCTGGATATTTCTATAAATGGAATCATAATAAGCATTCTTTATGACTTTTTAAATTTAACATAATAATTTTCAAATTTCATCCATGCTGTAACTTGTTCATCCATGCCGTACATTCTCATTTTTATGGTGGAATAACTTATTGTATGGTTATAACACATTTTGTTTATCCACTTTTCTTTCAATGGATATCATTTAATGGTCACCTCTGTTTTTGTTTGTTATAAAAACGCTCCTATGAATATTTATGTACATATTTTTGTGTAGACATGTTTTTACTTCTCTTGATAATATAGCTAGTAGAATTTTTGGGTCATGTGATAAGGTTATGTTTAACCTTTTGAGAGGTTTAACCTTTTGAGAGGTTAAAGCAGTGTACTCTGTACACTGCTGTACAGAGTAGCTTCATCACTTTATATTACCTCCAGAAAGAAATGTATAGTGTTCCAATTTATTCACATCCTCACCAATACTTATCAATACTTATTTTCTATCCTTTTGATTATAACCATCCTAGTTTGTGTAAAGTGGTTTCTCAATGTGGCTCTGATTTCCATTTCCCTGATGGCCAGTGATGTTAATTGTTCATGTGCTTACTGGCAATTTGTATCTCTTCATTAGAGAAATGTCTACTTAGTGTATTTGCCCTTTTTAAAAACTGGGTTATTTATCTTTTTGTTATGGAGTTATAAGAGTCCTTATGTATTCTAGACACAAGTCCATTATTAGACATATAATTTCCAAATACTTTCTCCCTTTCTCTGGGTTAACTTACACAAGTCCGTTATTAGACATATAATTTCCAAATATTTTCTCCCTTTGTCTGGGTTAACTTTTCATTATCTTGGTGGGGTTACTTTGAAACACAAAAGTTTTTAATTTTGATGTTCAATTTATCTTTTTTTATTGTTTGTGCTTTTGGTGTCATATTTAAACAATCATTGCCTAATCCAAGGTCATCAAGATTTATGCCTATATTTTCTTCTACAGCTTTTTTTAGTTCTTATATTTAGGTCTTTGAACTATTTTGACTAAATTTTTATATATGGTGTGAGGTAGGGCTCCAGTTTAATTTCTTTGCATGTTTTGTCCCAGAACCATTTGCTGACAAGATTATTTTTTTTTTCATGGAATTATCTTAGCACCTTGTTGAAAAAGTAATTGACTATAAATGTGAAGTTTTATTTGTAGACTCTCATTAGTACCACACTGTCTTGATTACTGTAGCTTTGTAGTAAGTTTTCAAATTGTGATGTGTGAGTCTTTCAACTTTTTTTTTTTTTCAAGATTCTACTGGCTTATTTGATTTCCCTTGAATTTCTGTATGACTTTTAGTTTAGTTTGTCAATTTCTGTAAAGAAGCAAGCTGACTTTTTAATAGGATTTTTACTGAATCTGTCAATAAATAGGAGAGTTTTGCCATCTTAAAAATGAACAAGGGTTGTTTTTACATTTATTTAGGTCTTTAATTTTATTCAACAATGTTTCTAATAAAACAACATTACTTATTGATGCAAAATCATTCAGTGAATACCCGCACAATTCTTATAACTTATTCCTATTTATTGTTATTAAACCATCCATAGTGTTGCATGCATGGTCATTTGGTTCCAATATATACAACACACCACTACACACCTTCTTTGCGTATATTATTATTTTCTAAGAAATATAAATTTGTCCTTGAAATTAGTCATAAAATATCCTGCCATTGAATTTTAAATCATTGTTTAAAAAGACGTATCCAATCAAGTGAAAACAACAATATATCAGATTCATTATATATAAACATCTCAGAAAATTATTATAGTTATAATCTCTATCTTACCTTAATTATAATTTAAGGGAATTATATTGTACATGAGGTCCATTATATTTCAATGATATTCTAGGCTGGATTTCCACCTGCAAATGATTTGCTTTTATACATATTAAAGTATATTTAAATATGCATTTTACATTATCACCATTTTAGCTATATTATATTTAATAGATCACCTAAGATAAGCATTTTCATATTAATGTCCCTGATATTTCTTTATATATATAAGAAACACATCTTTTACTTTTTCAGTTTTTTGTCCATATAATTAAAGAATAAATTTTCAAATTTGTTTAAACAAAAACTGTATAAATTCCTTCTAGCTTTTTTATATGAAAAACTTCACAAAAAATGAAAGGGCACCTCCTTGATACAGTGCTTCAGTGACACAGCAAAACTCCATGGTTATAAAGACGTTATCAATACTATTCTAATACTGATGTTGTAGATTATATCTATTTGATATTATATTTCATTTATTCCTGAAATAATATTTAAAGTATAGCTATACAGACTGACTAAAAATATGAACCGTTTTTTCTCTGTTTTGGGAAACAAAGGAACTTCAGCTCACCAACTGGTGCTTTTTTTTTTGTGGAAAAAATATTCCAATAATATATTAAGCAATTCTTAGCATCTAATTGTCTATAGTTTTATGTATATTGACTATGAAGCCTCTAGCTAGCCTTTAAGTGTAATACTACTTGGCAATAAAATGTATCTCTACTCATCACAGTTAAAGAATCTGTTAAAAGAATGTTGCATTGCTAAATAATTATAAATTTATAATCTTTTTGTTTTGTTGTGTTTTGTTTTGAGATGGAATCTTGCTCTGTTGCCCAGGCTAGAGTGCAGTGGTGCGATCTCGGCTCACTGCAACCTTCACCTCCCAGGTTTAAGCGATTCTCCTGCCTCAGCCTCCCGAGTAGCTGGGACTATGGTCATGCACCACGATGAGAGACTAATTTTTTGTATTTTTAGTGGAGACAGGTTTCACCATGTTGGCCAGGCTGGTCTTGAACTCCTGACCTCAAGTGATCTCCCAACCTCGGCCTTCCAAAGTGCTGGGATTACAGATGTGAGTCACCATGCCTGGCCATCCTTTGGAGGTTTTTAAAAACTTTCAAAAAGTGAACTAGAGACAGAAAGAGAAAGTTAAAAAGTGTGGAAGAAAAAAATGGAGGAGACTTGGAAGACATCTCTGTATTAAACACTAATCAGTCATGGTTATTAGGTGGAATACCTATAGCTAGAGGGAGAAACTATTCTCTTATTTATATGAAATACATTCTTAATGCATAAAACTCAGTTACTACATTTTTGCCCAGAACCAAGTTTATTAGATTATTCTTTAGAGAAATACTCCCTGTCAGTTAAGCAAGTCCCCAATTAACAAATATCTAGTATAAGACCCATCTTTAAAAATTCTTTCTCCAAATTTGATTCCATTGCAGAATTATTGGTGCAGAATCAAATAAAAGAAGATGAACATCAGTCTTTGGGGGCAAGAAGTATGTGCACACTAAAAAATAAGTAGTTGAAGACATAGGCTTTTTATGTAAAAGATAATGGAAAGAAGTTAATGGGAGAGAAGGGCAAAAGAAATGGAAGAGACTGGAACTCTTCAGGGGGATGGAGGTTTCAGCAAAGTTGAGATGTAATATTATTTGCATGATAAGCCTAGAAGGATAAAATTTTATGAGCAAATGCTGGACAATTAGAGTCTGAGATTTCAGAGTTTTAGCAGTTCACAGTAATGTTAGTTCAAGAAATAGAAGGGAATAGTTTTTTGAAATGCATCACGGGTAAAGAATTGGAATACTCCAGCTCCTTTTTTGGAACATAGATTGAAAATCATTACCTTAGATGGTTTTATTTCTGTGGGATTGGCTATGACTACAGCAATTTTAGTGAGAGCCTTGAAATGTCATTTTATATTCTGAAAATAGAGAATAACTTACAAGTGAGTTTTGATATTGTCACCTTTCAGTGGAAAATACATATGTCTTTGAGGTAGCTATTCTCTATTTTCATCTAAAAGTAGAGAGGTTTTAAAAATCGACTTGAAAATATTCTTAGGCAAGTACTCTATTTGAGTTTTAGTATACAATTTCTATGGCTCATATACTAGCTCCTTAAAAGAAATTTCCTTTTGGCAACTAATACTTTGTGAATTCAAATGCTGTAACTGCAGAAGCTATTGTAGCCAAAGAAAAGAAGTAGAAGAATTAGAAATTAATTAAGGGACTGGGCATGAGGGCTCATGCCTGTAATCTTAGCACTATGCAAAGCCAAGGCAGGCAGATTGCCTGAGGTCAGGAGTTCGAGACCAGCCTGGCCAACATGGCAAAACCCCATCTCTGCTAAAAATACAAATATTAGCCAGGCGTGGTGGCAGGCACCTGTAATCCCAGCTGCTCCGGAGTCTGAGGCATGAGAATTGCTTGAACCCAGGAGGCGGAGGTTGCAATGAGCCTAGATTGCACCATTGCACTCCAGCCTGAGGAATAGAGCAAGACTCTGTCTCAAAAAAAAAAAAAAAAAAAATTATTCAGTTCACCAAGCCCACCAAGCCTTCTTTCCTATTACCAGTGATACTAAATTTAGTTTCCCTTAAGACAGCATCTAATTGAATTTAAATGACCATAGTATCAGTGTCAACAACCCTACTTGTAGACCATTTTGACATGCATTTATCTATGAATGTGCCTGTTTAGAATTTGTTTTCGTGTTTTGTTCTGATCCTATTTTTTAAGAGTTCTTTCTTACTACCTATAGAAAAATCTTCTTCATTTTTTAATCTCTTCAGGTTTGAAATAAACTTCAAGGTTCATTTTTTATATACCAAAAGCTATCCAGCTACTATGTAACCACAAAATTAAAAAAATTAAAAAATATATAAAATAAAGAAAGAGTCATGACAAACCTAAACTAGTCCCATTTAAACTATTGTTTATCTCTTTTCAGTCATGTCAGATATCATTCAGAAAATTCATTAGTACTTCATGCGTAGGAGACAAAGCCATGCATCATATACAAAAATTATAACCTATTAGTCTTTATGTTACACAGAATAGCCCCAATACTAGGCATTTTATTAAAGAGTTACGGTCTTTATATGATGACCTGTTACTTCAATGTCCTTATAGCCAACAATCTGTAAGAAAGAAATATTAAAGCTATAGGATTTTATGTGTCTAATTTCTTACTATTATACATTCTATTCAATAATATTCCCAAGTAATTTAATTATTTAACTTAAAAATCCAGTACATTCTGCACTTCAGTCTTGTTTTCAGTCCAAAGTCTTGACTGATAGTTTTCTCTCACATTGTTTGTAGTTACATTAAAACTTAAATTTTCCTTTAGCTCTAATTTTAAGCCTTAGTTTGGAAATGATCCTCGCTACAAGCCTGTATTTGTTTGAGACTTAATTTGACTTGTTATTACAAATAATTCATTTTAATTTCTGTTGCAACTCAAAACATTTCTCACAGACTTTTCACAACTACATATTTTGTGCCAATGTTGCATTTTGAACCCTTTCCCTTCTGTTTGGATCACTTTATGGCTTAATATTTGTCAGATGATCCACTTCCCTAAAACTCACTTGTATATTCAAGAGAAATCTCCCCACTGCAGTATAAGTAATTTGTAGAAAATTTTCTGTTTTCAAGAAGTAGATTAAAGAGAAGTCAGAGTAGAAATAACAGGACCAATTGGGAGCCTATTGCAATAGTCTAGGACAGAGGCGTGAGCATGGCTTGGGCTAGGTTATTGTCAATAGAAACTGAAAAATAACTAGATATGAGACTCATCTTAAAGGTTGATATTATAGGATTGATGGAATGGTGAAAGAAAGAGGAATCAAAAGTTACTCCACAGTTTTAGTTTGATTACTTTTGTGAATGATATTGTCATTTATTGAAGTGTAGAAATGATAGGTGTGATAGGAAATTAAGATATATTTTATAGAAATATTTTCATTGAATTGAAGTTCTAATGGAGTAAAAAGTAAAATTCAAGAGCCTGGAATTAATAGACGATGTCTGTGTTAAAGATATAAATTGGGTTGTCTATAGATACTTTTTAAAACCTGAGAGTAGATCTGTGCATGTAAGGAAAGAGTACAGCTAAAGAAGAGATGGCAGCCAGAACCTACCCTTTTTGGTACCTAAAATTTGGGGTATGCCATTGGGAGGATTCGAGCAAAGGAAGCTGAGAAAATGATGAGAGAAAGAAGAAAGATCATGGGTAACAGAGTCAGAAAGTGAAAAACAAACTATTTCAAAAGGCAAAGTTAACTGTGTAGAATGAGGCATAGAGATCAGGAAAGATTAGGATAGAAGAGTACACTCTGGACAGGGAAGTGTGTCATGCAGATGAACATTCTTGGTACTCTTAACTTTCATAAGAACTGAAGCTTAAAGTTTATGGTTGCGTGTTTGAACTTCAGGCCTTAGTATAGGTTTAAACTTGTCACAGATTACTTAAAGGTTGTTAAAAGAAACAATTTGTGTAGATGTTCATCCTGGTATGCACATTTTATTTTTAATGTCCCGGCATTGATTTTATGTTTAATTCTGATTTCCAGAAGAGTAAACTTTGCTAAATTGTTATATGATATTACGACATTTGATCTGCATTAGAAAATATTAGAGAGAGTGTAACGAAACCTCATATGTATTACCTAAGTTTCAGCAAACATAGGCCAGTTTTTAAATATTTAAATAGCATGGACTAGAGTCAATATTCTACATTGTATTAGAACCCACTGTGTTCCCTAACATTCCAGTAAATTTCCAGAGATTTATAACGTTATGGTCCAATCTAGTTCCAAGATACACTTCCTATTGGCTTGCATTTCACTTTCTTGAGTGATGTTCTTACTCAGAGAACTCTGAAACATAGGTGTTTGTTTTTTTAATTTTTGTACTCCCAAACCACTCACACAATGCATTTATACATGTAACATTTTCCTCTAAAGCTGGGATAATTTTTAATCATTGTATACCATTGTAAAAAACAAAAGAGTTAAAATTGCATATTGTTGGCTGGGCGCAATGGCTCATGCCTGTAATCCCAGCAGTTTGGGAGGCCGAGGTGGGTGGATCACGAGGTCAAAGGATCAAGACCATCCTGGCCAACATGGTGAAATCCCATCTCTATTAAAAATACAAAAATTAGCTGGGTGTGGTGGTGTGTGCCTGTAGTCCCAGCTACTTGGGAGGCTGAGGCAGGAGAACTGCTTGAACCCGGGAGGTGGAGGTTGCAGTGTGCCAAGATTGGGCCACTGCACTCCAGTCCTGGTGACAAAGCGAGACTCCATCTGAAAAAAAAAAAAAAAAACTTGCACATTGTCCTTCTGGTTAAATGTTCTCAGGCACTCTCCCAGGCTGCTGGGACACTTGTCTCTTGCAAAACACAGTTGTCCTTCAAAATCTTTGAGCTACTTCCACCTTAAGGTCTTTGAGCTTACTGTCCTCTCTTTATGGAATATAATGTCTTCCAATGCATGCATGTTTCACTCTCATTTTATTGCAGTCCCTGTTAAAATATCACCATTTCAAAGGGCTGTCCATGACTACCCTATCTGAAGTAGCTTCCGCATCCTATCCCCTTACTTTCTAGCTCCATATCATGATTTATTTTTGTTTCTACCATTTATCCCCACTTGGAATTTTTACTTGTCTCTCCATCCACATACTTTTCTAAGAATAAGTTCGAAAAGTAAAAAATTAATCTGTTTTATTCACTATTATATTCCTAATAACTAGTGTGGTACCTACTCTATGGCAGGCACTAAATAATTGTGGTGAAGAATGAATGATTAAATAAACATGTCTGAACCTTAGTTTCTTTATACAGAAAGTGGACATAATACCTACTTATTTAAAAGGAATATTTTTAGGGTCAAGTGATATAAATAATGATTTCATATGTGTTTTTATAGCTGTAGAGTTTGACATAGATACACAGATTTAGTGTCTTAATATTATGTAACAGAAAATATATTTTACTATTTATTTTCTCTTAAAATAATGTTGGCACTACATATTAAATCTATAAATCTAATGGATCCCAGACTCACTGAAGTTGCTTCAGTTATATGTAGTCAAAATTGTTTCTTAAAATTTATTTTAACATCTTTTTGTGGAATATACTTTTTGCTTAGGTTCTAATTTTTTTGGTAATTGTCTTAACTGGGCATTCTCTTTTGAATATTCTTATGAATAGGGTGGGCCCTATATTATTCATTTTCTTGTTTAGTATAAAGGGGTGAAAAGTAGATCCCATTTACTGTAAAAATACAGTAATTCATCATTAAAAAAATCATCGTATCACCCATGATCACCTCATTGATTCTGAGATCTTAAGATGAGTGTAAGAGACAAGAATTGGAAATAATTTCTTTTCTTTTTGAGCTGAATATTTTGTACTACACATCACTCTACCTATTCCAAAGTAGCAACATAGGAAAGTCAAATTTAAACGGCATCCTTCATTTTAAGCTAGAGACCTTTGTGTTTGATCTTTATATCCATTGGTGTGTTGGTTAGAGAGCTCTGAAATATCTTGTTCTTTATTTCTATAATAATAAGGATATATTCAGTGAATAAATAATAAGGATATATTCATTGAATTTATTCATTATGATAATATGTCTACTTATACCAGTGAGAAATTGTCAAAATATTTGATGGTAGGAGGGAGAATCTTAGCTGTTTGTCCTTGTCTGTTCTTGGCTTGGAATTCAGTTGTAAAGACAGATCTCTCTGTCATTTGCCAATAAGCCACACCCCATCTTTACAAACCATCCTGTCAGTAGATATTATTGCCATACAGAAGACTTGGAAAGAGGTGGAAAAACTCATCATCATTTCCTACTATTTCTGAAAAACAACTAATACTTAGCTGAGGTTGCAGGGGTCAGCCCTTCATATGTAAAAGCAATCTACTAAAATATAAAGTCCAGAGAAACCTCAAACAGTATAGAGTTCCATTTTCAAATCCGGTCACGGGCTATGAAAGCATGCTTTTCTTTTAAATATATCAAATGTTCTGTTAGAGTTTATCACAGTTAGACACAGTGTAATGTTTTTCAACTTTTTAATGGTAATTTTCAACACTAATTTTTAAATTAGTTAATTATAAGAGATTGAGTACACTAACTTGAATCTTTTAATTAACTATGTAGACAAAAATCCCCAAATGTCTGTGATAAAATCCATACTCAGGTATTCTTGTGTAGTAGAAATATTTCTCTTTCAATTTTTTGCCGTGCTATGTCATGCTTCTCCCACAAGGACAATGGTTGCCCTGTGTGGGATTATTAAAGACCAGCAGTGTTCACAGACTTGTGCAGGACATTGTGTAAAACTAAACAATTATATCATCTAGGTTATTTTGTCATCTGTGCTATAATATGGCTTTGCCCTAAAATCTAATAATTCTGAAGAAAAGAAAATAAAGATGACTGCAGAGTTATGAATAATGTTAAATACCTTTCAGCTTACAAAACACTTGCATGTATATATGTATGTGTATAAGTGACATCTATCTGAAATGGTATTTGTTCCTTATGAGACCTCCATGAAGAAGGTATTAATTGAGACAGGTATTGTTAAGAAATTAAGATGTGGATTAGTTAACTGTCTTATCTAAGACTGAGCAATCACTTAATAGCTGAACTGTAATTCAAACATGTCACCATATTCTATATTTGGTGACACTAGTATATAATTCTTTAATGCTGTTTAGGTTGCTGTTAAGATTGTCTTGTTTACAAATCAAGCAAGTATAAATTATGACTATAGTTCAACAGTAAATAGAAATTCTTTATTAGAATTTGGTATAATATAGTCTATGGAACATACACTGCCCCTTATGTTTGTTGCAATGTACATAATACATAGGAGGTGATCAAAAGGACTTAAGATGGAGTCAAATAATCTAATGAGTGATTTGTGTGTGTCTGTGAAATATACTGTTGCTCCTAAGCAGAAAATGTCATTTTGGTTTCATCCTATGTTTAACTACCATATAATAGAATACTAGCTTTTCTTAATGAAAACCTCTTAACACCCACTTGAACATTTCCTGTCTATAAACAGCCTGGTTTCTCACCAAATAATAACAATATGGAAGCAGCATTGATCCATATTATGTGACTTATTTTAACCTGAGTTAGGGATATTGCAGTATCCTTTGATAGGTTCTATGAAATTATAGATATATAAGACTACTCTTAACACATTTATAATCCAAACAAACAGCCAGCACACATAAACATGATAAATAACACTATGAGAAAAAAAATGAGTTATCAGGACGTTGAAGATGTAGATAATGGCAAGTTAGCAGGGTAAGTCATATTTCAATGTGCAACCTCTGCAAGTCCACAGGGTGTGATATGGACATGAGGGAGATCTGTAGATGAATACTGTACAATACTTTGACGGGTTGACAAAATGTAAAATAGAGGTATGGCCATAGGAAAAAAAAAAAAACAGATTTTTAGCCCCATAGGCTGAGGGATTAAGGAGGGCTGGCTACAGGCATTTTGGAATGGAAGATGGTGTACCAACAAATCAAGCTTAGGTTCCTGGCAATTTGCCCACATATAATGTGTGAAAGTTCAGATGTGAAATAAATCTGCAGCTCATAGTAAGAACCTAGCCACAGGAGTTAAAACTTATGGTTCTGGGACCAGATGGACTGCCTTCTAATCTTAGTCTTACTAAATTTCAACAGCATAACCTTCAGCAAGTTACTTAGCCTCCAGCGTCTCAGTTTTCTCATCTGTAAAATGGTGATAATGCTACTCTTACATTGGGTTGTAGTAGGATAAAAAGAGAAAATGTATGTAAAGGCTTTAGTAGAAACTCTTATAAAAATTAAACAACTATTATTTCTCCATTCTTCAAACAATTATTATTTCTCCATTCACCAAACCATAATTATTTATCAATTCACCAAACAATTATTATTTCTCAGTTCTAGGATTCTAACCTGCAAAAGGCATAAGGCCGTTGCTGAGTACAGGGTGAGGAGATGGGGATTCGATCAGGAAAACTCTTGTTTCACTGTTGCTGTTGGCGTTTTTGTTTGCTCGTTTGTGTGTTTTTTATTCATTATTTTCACTTCTGTTTATTGACAAGGTTAATCAATAACATCATTTACATTTAGTAAAAGTAAATTTCCCTAAGTGGTCTCCTAGGCAGCAATGTTTATTCATTACGTGGAGAGCAGATACAAGGATTATTTTATTGCTGCAAATATTTTATTGTTGATATTTCATATTTAAAAAATAATTTTATTTTTTAAATTTTTTGTGGGTATATAGTAGGTGCACATATTTATGGGGTACATGAGATATTTTGATACAGGCATATGATATGTAATAATCACTTCGGGGTAAATTGGGCAAGCATCACTTCAAGCATTTAACCTTTTTTGTATTACAAACAGTCTAAGTATTTTAGTTATTTTAAAATGTACAATAAATTGTTGACTATAGTTTTGCCACTGCAAACAATAGAAGGCTGCCTGATATGGCCTCCTAGTCATTGGAGTTCTATGGCAGAATTCCTAAAGTCTTCAAGTTTCATGAGATCACTAAATTTTGGTAAATATGATACTTTCTTTGAACAGATGCTACGGAGGCCAATAAAAGGAGTGTGAGTAACAGAGTGGTACCTGTGATCAGTATCTCTCCAACTACAATTCAAAGAGTTGTCCCTTACATTTCTTCTGTGTGGCTCCTCTTATGTAATACCCTGCTTGGTCCAGATAAGCAGAAGTCAGAACTGGCTAAGAATTTATTTATGTGTGTTTATCCTGATGTTTTCCTACTGTCACTTTTCTTTTCTTATGGATTAGCATTGAGGGGATGGTCAGATGGCACCTGTCTGAGTCTGACTGAAAATTTTTAGTGGGGGGGTTGATGGCATGCTCAATGGTTTAGTATATTTGAGTTAGTGGCAGAATGTAGACATGAGGGTGAGTAGAGAATGCAGAGCGGACCAGGCAATTCAGGAATCTATGTTGGTTGTTTAATTGCTTCCGTTTTGTCAACATCTTATTCCACCTGAAAAAATTATCTAGGAACTAGAGAAATTAATGACACGTGTAGTGGAAACTTTGCATAGTGTAAGTGTTATCCATTTACCTCTCTTAGTTTCCGGTACAATGACTCTCCTGGTAGCTGTCTTATATGATAAATATGATTTCATTAACAAAATCATATTTTATATAATTGCATACTTTAAACAAGTGATCAATATAACTCAGTTATAAATATACAGTAACAAAGATCAATGGATAATAAATACTTCTTCATTTTTATGGATACATTCTATTTTTGTTTGTCTCACAACTAGTAATCAGATTATGAATTGTGGTACAGCTCCATAAACACTTACTTTATAGCAATTCAATGATACATGCTCAGCCAAAAAAAAATTAAGAGAAGGATAAAGACAATTTAAAGCTTCTGTGTGTGTGCATGCACCAGATGTGTATGGCTTTTTATGTTTATGCCTGAGTGTTTAGGTTCATACGTATGGTTTTAGGCAGAGTTTTGCTCGTAATACGTGCAACTTTCACATGCCCATTTTAATATTAGCCTTCAAATAAATAAAGATTGGTTTGAATTAAAACCTGTAATGAAAACTTATAATTACGCTCACAGCTGACAGCTGTCACTGAATGTGGTGCATAAAGGTCCTCAAGCATACAGTGCTCTTTTCACCATGTGTTTGAGTTGAGCAGAGTTCATGTACGCCTTACCCTTCTTTATGGCTATGGTGAAGCTGTGGGTTTAAAAACACTCGGGCAAAGAGTAAGTCCTCAAAGTTGCAGGCCATTCCATGGAGAGGCTCATCAGGAATAGCTTGCTTGACCGCCGCTGCTGTGGTTTTCTCTGCTTTAAAATTATTACTTTTGACACATGAAAACCATAATTTCTTCATGTTTATAAAAAATAACTATAGCTGGAATATGTAAAATATATTAAAATAATGCATCTAAAAACTAGTTTTGGCTAACTGATATAATTGGATTTTCAGGGTTTTCCAGATCCCACTAAGTAAGGATGTAATGTAAACTAATAAAAATAAAGCCTGAGAAGCTTTATGATGGCATATGGCAGGTCATTTTTATTGATTGAAAAAAAAGGATGTTTATACCGCATGTATGAAAATGAAAGAAATCTGTTCGGAAAAAATGGGCATAGGATCAGAAATCCAAGTTAAAATAATTTAAATCCAGAAAATACATGAATGCCTTCAAAGTTTAAAACCTATGTTAAGGATTCTACATAGTCCCTGATCCCTTATTTTCTTTGTTATTCATGTACTCCATGCTTAAATACAGCTGCTACAAAGTATCAATTAAATTACAATCCCACATAAAGCTCCAGAAAACCTTGATATATAGGGAAGTGAAGCTGGGGAAGCAGTTAAGGGTGGGATTGATGATTGATGAATTGAGAATACTGAAGTCAACAGGCTGGACGTATGGTATGTGGTGTATCAAAAGAGTGGATATTTAAGACAGAACTGTTAGAGTTCATGAAATTATTGGGGATGATGGCACCGTTAACATGTTAGGCTGAGTTTTGCAGTGGGAAAAATTACCAGTGTAAGGTGGCTCCACGTAAATCTCTAACTGCTATAAATGAAAGCTTATTTGGGCTTACTCACCAGCACATCACTGGATATATGTGAGAAGATGCTGGGGTTTGTGGGAGCTGTCTTCACTCTCAATATCTCTGGATTATCCTTGGGGTGTAGCCTGAGGTAGGGGAAAGAGTGGTCTTTAGGATGTCACCCCACCGATTTGCTCCCTACATGATCATGGGAACGAGCTAACTTCTTTGAGCTTCAGTTATAAAATTAGCTTTTTCTTGAAGGAATTAGAAGGAAGTAATGTATGTAGTATCACAGCACAGTGCCTAGCACATACAAGACCCTGAATGACAATGTCTTTTTCCTTTTAAACTGTGTGTTAATGGGATGGGAAGAATAAAGCCGGATTTTTAGGAAGCTCTGCTGAAAGAACATAGGAAAATGTGTTTAACCATAGCTTCTTAAGTGACCATTCCTAATAGCCCCAAATGGCTGTATTTATTCTGGCTCATTTTTAAATCACGTGTGATCCAGAGGAAGCTGGTTCCCATCTACAGCACAGTGTTATCCAATAACACAGAGCAAGGATAAATGTAGTTAGAAGCAGAAAGAACATCAAACACTAATGTAATTATCTCAAACTGAGTTTATGCAGTCAAAAGGTAAAATAATCTGTTCAGTGTGGTTAGATTCTTTAATGTTATGTCTCATCTGAAGAGATAAAGTATCTGAGAAAGGATAGAGCTTAAGTAACTTGGAACATTAAGCAACATTGAATTGAGGTAGCACTCAAGACTGAGAAAGCATTAGTGACACATGACTGGCCTCTGTGACAGTATGGCATGTACTTTTTTTAAAGAGAATAAAACTGAAAAAGAAGACTTAAACTTTTGAAGATTATGTTAGTTTTTATTTATAAAGCAAAGAAATTAATGTTTGGATAAACAGTGGATATTTTTGGTTAACTGATGTTTAGATAAACTATAGATAACTCATTTACTAACAGAAAGTAATAAATGCAAACACATGTGAGAAAGAAGCTCCCTGCGTAGATGCAGTGAAATTTTATTATATATCTACTGTGTTAAAGACAGATTTTGCAGCATTAATATGAAACTAGAAAAAAATACTTTTTTATTTTTTGTGCTTTTTCACTTTATATTACCTCAGTTGAAACTGCACAATGATGACTTCATTCTTGGGGTAAGAATGTTATAGAGTAAAAATACATCTATAGATATGTATTTACATATCTAGGCTTATACTTTTACCATTTCTTAGATAAAAATTATAATTCTATAAAAACAGTTACTTGGGATTATATTTTAACTGCTGAAAGTTACCAGAAAGTTACATAATCTACCTCAGATATTTTTAAAAATGGAAAGTAGGATTTGGTAATGCACAGTTAAAAACAGCAATCGAAAAGTTGTAAAGGAACATTGCTGTTTATAAGTTGCTGAGTTAACACTCCTAAAAACAATTACAAATGTCATTTTCTCTGGGCCTCATTCTTTCAGTCAATAAAGAGTTAGTGACTACCTGAGTGCTGCAACAATGCATAAGACACATTCCTTTAGCTTAAGAGTCTAACATATGGAATGGGCATAAAAATACAGACATAGACGATCAAAGTAGAAGTGCAATGTGTCGAGGAGAATGGCAGAAAGTGGAAATGCTATGGAAGTTTAGAGTGCAAAGTGATTTCTTTCCATCCAAGGAACCTATTTTCATATTTTAATTGAGCCTGCTAAGATGGGGAGTATTTTGCCAGTTTCTGAAAAAGTGAGAATTTCTCCATATAGGATAAAATATGAGTAAGGTGAATAGGAAAAATCAGGTACAATTTTCTTGTAGTAATTTATGTGGACTGTAATGCAGGAGGTAACAAAGAAAAGAGTGAGCGTTTTAACCAGACTAGACAACTGTGGACTGGGAAAGATATTAATGGGTGATGAGAAGTCTCTGAAGGGTTTGGACCTCACACAAAGATGAGATCTCATAAACTGGCATGAGTGAGGAGTGCTGGAAATGGCTGATGAGAGACCTGTCTGGGACTTTATTTAAGTGGTTTATAGGTAGAAATAACAGGAGTTAAAAAAAAATAGATATGAGACCCACTACAGAGATAGAATGAAAATAAATTAGCAGTTAGTCATGCAGATAAGGAAAGAGTAGTCACCTGTGTGTAGTGGAGATCAAATGCACCAGTAGTAAGATAGCATTCTGGATGGATGCAGCCATGGCATTGCAAAGAGGATATCTTCATGTGTGCAATAGAAGTCATGAGGTATAGGTTGTTGTGAGATTAAATGAAAGTATGTACATGAAGTGGATTTTTAATTAAAATACTCTAAGTAAGTGAATAATATTAGTTTTATTATGAAAGTTTAGAATAACATGACTTGAAAGATAGTACTATTTTATTAACAGAGCTGTAGAAATAAAAAAAAGAAGGAAAATATTTTGGGGAAATTAGCGAATTTAATTTAAGAGAGACCAAGATTAAAATATTATTAGTTAGGGTCCCAAAAGGAATAAATTAGGATAGTTTGAAGAGGATTTGTTACAAAATGATTACTGGAATGTCTATAGAGTGTCAGGGAACCACAACGGGTTCTATAGGAACTCAGAGCAAGAAAAGGAACCCAAGGCCAGCTGATTCCACCCCTAAGCTTGAATGGAGGAAGGGAGATAGAGATGGAAGAAGAAAAAGTTCTGTATAGCTAAGCTGCCTGAAGGTAGTCAAAGGCCATGTTCAACCCAAGAAAAAATCAAGGGAGTAAACCAGGGGAACAAAAAATTGAATGTCACTCTACTCTCTTCCTTCAGTATCTAGTAGTTGGGTTTCCCCATTGGATGAACCAACTGGAAGCCAAAGAGCATGGGAACAAATTGAGGTTTTCTCAGAGTTTAAGAATTTGTAAGTGCTGGTGGCACTGACATTTAAATAATTATACTCTATTCACTAACGAATACATTAGGCATTCTCAAAAATTAGTGGAAACCTCTTTGAAGAATCTGTGGATTATGACAGGTATTCTACATTTAATGAAGTTTGTATAGATTCACATTAAAGCAGTTTGGAATTAGTTTCTCACCTCTTTGACCAGAAAAGGGAACAACTTGTACCAGAAAAATAGAAAGGAATTGTTGATTTTTATATACAGTCAGACCTCCATATCTGTGAGTTCTGCATCTGTGGATTCAGAACCACGAATAAAAAACCATGTGTATTAGTCCATCTTCATGCTGCTATAAGGATGTATCCAAGACTGAGTAATTTATAAAGGAAAGAGGTTTAATTGACTCACAGTTCCACACGGCTGGGGAGGCCTTGGGAAACTTACAATCATGGCAGAAGGGGAAGCAAACACATCTTCCTTCATATGGTGGCAGGACAGAGAAGTGCAGAGTGAAGGGGCGAAAAAGTCCCTTATAAAACCATCAGATCTATGAGAACCCACTCAGTATCACAAGAACAGCATAGGGGAACTGCCCCATGATGTAATCACCTCCCATGGGGTCCCTCCCCCAGTACATGGGGATAATTCAGATTACAATTCAAGATGAAATTTGGGTGGGGACACAGAGCCAGACAATATCACCATGGATGGAAAATAATCAGACCAAAAAAGACCCCAAAATAATAATACAACAGTAAAATTACAAATCAAAATACACTATAACTACTTTTTATATAACATATTAGCTATTATAAGTAATTTACAGACAATTTAAAGTATACAGGAGGAGATGCATAAGTTGTATGCAAATACTACACTGTTTTATATGAGACTTGAGCATCCACGGATTTTGATATTCTTGGGAGTCTTGCAACCAACCTCCCAGGGATGTGAAGGATAACTGTATTACACTATACTAGGGTACTTACCAAGGAAAAGAACATGTCAGTGAAACAACACTGAAAGCAGACCACAAAAACTTCTATACTTAACTAGAATGGGGCATCAAAGAGCTAAACATGCTTTCTGTCTCAACATAAAACAACAATGTGATTCGTCTTAATTCAGAAACCATCTTTGAGTCAGTAAACTTGCATGGAAGAACATCTAACCTAAAAATATGGATTCCTTCAGGTTTTACATGGGGATAACTTTGTCTCTTCCAAATTTATGTATCTAGATGTATAAACTTGAAAAATAAAAGAGTATTATTATAATGGCATATATCTTTTAACATTTAAAAATATAAACTTGAAATTTTAATAAGAATATATGAACTTAAAATATATCTAGGCTTTATATTAAGGAATAAACACAGTTGTTCAGGCAGATGTTTCCTTTATGCAATCACTGCTAGTCTGGATTTCTTCATTAGATCTCTTAGTAGATTTCTGAATATTAGCATAGAGATAAATTTCTGCAGTAACACAGCTGGGACTCTTGGCTTCCAAGTATTTGGAACACTCACAAGATTTTGTTGCTTTCAGTTTTGTCATTATTTTCCTTATCCATTTTTTATCTCTTTGTTTATGTTGTCTCCAGTCCTATTCCAAGGATTTTCACAGACTTGCTAGCTTTAAAAAATGAGTACAGAGTGTTTAGAAGGAAGGGAATGACTCTAAATGAATTTCTTTGTATACCTTTTTTGGGTCACTTCAAAATAATTTAGAATGAAAATAATTAAGGCTTTATATTCTAAATTAATGATTCTCTAAAGTGGGTCCAACAACATTGATGTTACTAAACTATATTTTACTTTTTCTAAAATATTGCCGTATCTATAATTCTTCATATATTCTTGATAAAGGCTTTATTTGTAAAACTTGTCAATTTTTAATATAGAGATATAATATAGATATAATATATAGAGAGATATAAATATATAACTATTTTTGTAGTATAATTACTGACACATGGAAGACACTCCAAGATGGTGTCCTCAATTGGATGTCGAATGTCCACGAATATGGGACTATATAACTTATTGTATATACAGTGTTCTCTATGATCTCGAATATTTATAAGATTGCTCTAGGATAGATATACTTTAATATAACAACAACAAAAAATGAGAATCAAATAGGTTAAATTACATAGCCAAATTCCTCAAAGGAATTTGTGTTTTGAAACATTTTCAAACCCAGAATATTGTCAGAGGTCATCCAGAGTTAGCAATATTTGGTTCTTTCTGCAACTACGGATGAAATGAGTTCTATCATTTACTTTAGAGCATTTTTGTACTCTTTTCTTTTTTATTTATAATTTTTAAGCTATTGTTTCACACTGCACTTCCAAAATATAACATGCATCTAACATTAACATATTGGTTTTCCATTGACAAGGAAGAGATGTAATATTAAGATATTTACCTAGTTCAATATGAATCTGTACCAATTAAAAGCAATATTTTAGTCAGTATTTCCTGAGGTGAATTGATTTATATTGTTTTCTTCCATTAAAAAAAAAACACATTCCCATGTGTTCCCTTTTCCCTCATCGTTTTGAAAACATGGAATCAAGTTTGCTTTGTTTGACCTTTCTTTTGTATTATTACTAATTTTGCTTTTTAAAAGTCTTATTAGAAAGGAAATAGTTACTGAATGTGCTTGAGAAAGAAAAAACACACAGCAGTAAATAAAAATGCTTAGTAGCTCCCGATTTCTCTCTCTTCCCAGCCACTGGCATCCACCATGCCACTCTTCGATTCTATGAATTTGACTATTTTAGATATCTAAAATAGTCATGCAGTATTTGTCTTTATGTGACTTTCTTACTTTACCAATAAAATAAAATAAAACTCAAATATAAAAAAATTTCTGTTTGGCTTAAGCTGGATATTTAACTTCAGGTAAATTGTTGAAAAGAACCGAATCAAAGTCAAATAACTATTTGAAGTAGAAAATATGATAGGCAATATCTGTTCATAGTTTTTAATCTTGAGTAATTGAAATGTGATTTTTTTTCTTCTAATCAAACAAAGCAAAATAGATTCCTTAAGTGGTGTGACTATTTGGAGCTGTTTTGCTGTTTAATGAAACAACTGTATGGTTTTCATAATATGTGATACTTAGGTATGATAATATGAAAAAATTTTGTTTAGAGATATTGTGATTAATGTTTTTACTTATATCTTAATTCATATGTTGAAAGAAAAATATATCTGGTTTCTATTATGTGCAAGATTCTCTGCACTTAGCATGTAGTTATAACCTTTCAGCTAGTGAGAGAGGTTTCTAATACAGGGATTTTTTTTTTTTTTTTTTTTTGGGGACAGAGTCTCACTCTGCCTCCCAGACTGGAGTGCAATGGTGCAATCTCAGCTCACTGCAACCTCCGCCTCCTGGGTTCAAACAATTCTCCTGCCTTAGCCTCCCATGTAGCTGGAACTACAGGTGGGCACCACCACACCCGGCTCATTTTTTGTATTTTTAGTAGAGATGGGGTTTCACCATGTTCACCAGGATGGTCTGGATCTCCTGACCTCGTGATCCGCCTGCCTCAGCCTCCCAAAGTGCTGGGATTACAGGCCTGAGCCACCACGCCTGGCCTACAGGGGTGTTTAGATAAGAGTCCTTTGAGTTGCGGAACTCATGAATGAAGTGAACTTGCCTTTTCCTGGTAATTAAACCAAATTATTCAGAAGTAATAAAATGTTTTATTTAAAAGGTATAATTTTTTAAAAAGTAATTTGTTTTAGTTCTTTTATAATTCACCAATTTATTATGATTACATTGCTCATTAATTGCCTCTCAAGTATTTGTTGAATTAAAATATCAAAGAAGTTATAGTTTAAAAGGAAAAAAACAATAGCAGAAAACGAATTACTTTTTAAGACCTAAATGCCTAGGCTTCTTTTTCATAATAACATTTAGAAGACAAAATTTAATTTATTTGGAGATTCTAATGCAAATTCACTTATAAATAGGGCAATACCCCTTAACAGCACTAAAACATGCTATTTCTTCAGATAGTTAAATAAAACCTGTCAGCCATATTCTAACCTGTGCTGAAATGTATCCTGAAACCTGGCAAAAGATCCTATTCTTTTGTAGGCTTGTAATAAATACAACTTACAACTATAATACTTGCTATAATTACTATTTAATGTAGCCTTTGTAATGCTTTATCAATATGGGTGCAGTCCAATGGTTAGTTTCATTGAAATGTGTATATAAATATGTATTCTAGTCAGTGTGTTAATATCAGTAAGAGTAAATCAGAAGAGTTTTCCATTTTAACTTATAACTAGTGCAAAGGTAAAACACTTTTTGGATTTATTTCTATAAGATAGCTCTAAATATATGACATTGTAACTAGGAGTTAATAGTCTAGGTTCAATCTTAAAAAAATGTCGTTAATGGTAATTGGTAAAGCCTCAAACAGTCTTCATCCTAAATACACATACACACAGACACACACACTAACATAAATCAATTTTGTGACTTCCTGGCAAATAAAACTGAGTTTCTATTTTTTATCCATTAAATTGATGAAACAGCCAGGCATGGAAATGCACCTGTAGTCCCAACTACATGGGAGGCTTAGGCAGGAGGACTGCTGAAAGCCAGGGGTTGAAGGCTGCAGTGTACTATGATCATGCCTGTAAAGAGAGTTACTGCACTCCAGTCTGGGAGACCCTTGTCTCTAAAACAAAATGTAAAATTCAAAAAATTTAAAATTTACGTCTTGTGAGATAGAATGAATTTTGCATCTTCATATACCATTCAAGGGAGTATAAAATTACAATGCTGCTTGATTATTTTGACAATATGTCTCCAGCAATGATGAGTTTACAGAACCTTGGATAGATAGAACATATGACATTACTATCTTAAGCTGAATTTAATTTGTTTCCATGCTCCCTTTTCTGCTGTTGGTAGGAACCATTTACACTTGTCACTTCAAGTTCCCACATTTACTTCTGGTTTTTAAGTTGTTTTCTATGAACTAAATATTTAATTATATTCAGTTTTGTTCTCCCTTCCTCTTTCCGTTGTTTATGGCTGGGTGGCCTCCAAGGACAAGCAGTTTATGTAATATTTTGAATAAGCAAGATGCATAGGATATAAAAAAAGACTTAAATTTTTGTCTCCTGCTGTTCCTTTAAAATGTGTTCTGTGGAGGAAATGCCTCCCCTACTCCTGATTGAAAACTCCAGTGGTCCTATTTCCTACTCACTCTTGGATAATAAAATTCCTTCAGTTGAGTCAAGAGGAAAATACAGATTTGATTCTTTGAATAGTCTACCCTATCATTCCCATCCTGCCTTGCCTTGCACTTTGACTCCTGTTTCTCATCTTACTAATCATTGGTAACTAATAGAGAATTAAAGAGAGAGTGTGGGGGCGGCTAATGTTCTTACCTGACTTATTCTAACATGCCTGGACCTGGCAGGTGCTTGGAGCTGAGTTTTGCTCTTAGGAGGAACATGTGATCTCATCAGTTTGGGGAACTCCCTTAAAGCTCCCTTGACTTGGGCAAAGCATTCTTCACTAATTCTGTGCTTTGCTGCCTCTGTAACCCTGCAGATCAGAAATTCACCCTTAGCTTCTGGCTGTTCAGGCTCTATCACCCTCTAAGTGGCCCATTTGGGAAGAGTCCAGGGAAATAGTCCTGCCAGCTGTCTCAGGAGGAGTACCCAAATCTCGTAGGGACAGGTAATTCTAGACCCAACAAACTCTGGGAAAACAAACCCACTGTTATGGCAGCTTCCCTCTAATCTGCAGCCTTAGCAACTAAACTGCTTATTCCTCTCTGTTTCATACATAAGTCAAGCCTCTCTACTCACTAATGCTGGGATTCACGTTCAGTTCTTTGGAACATCCAATTAAAGTCTGTCTAACTGAAACTGGAAGAAAAAGATAAGTCCTGGCCACTCTTCTACCTTGGGTATGGGGAGGATGCTAAAAATATAACAGCAGCTCCTCACAGAAACTGTATTCAGAGACTCTCTCAAATCTCCAAAAACCTAATGTGGATAAATTTCCTAACTCACTTCTAAGCCCCTTCTTGGAAACTGTAATGCGGTTTATCTAACTCTCTTTGGAATATAGCATCTCTCATCTTCATTCCTCAGCCGAAAACAAGGCAAGAAGAATCCTATTTGAATACCCCGTTGGAATATGAAAGTACTATCATGGCAGCACAAGTTAAGAACACTGTTCTGTAGATCCGCATCAGGCCCGGCTCCTTGAGGCAGGCCTTCACTGAGCTCCCTCTGTTCAGGTCTGTGCTCCTTGCCTTACATCCTGTTTTCACCCCCACTGCACCCGGAACTGAGGCTTCTGCTCATCTGTCATCCTCTTGTCATGTCTGCAACTCCCCACGGAGATTTCAAAAATTTACCCATAGCCACAGGAAATAAGTAGGGTGGGTTTGGTTACTAGTATCCCCCATGGTTTTAGTCCCTTTCCTCCTGTCTCTTCTCACTTGTTTATAGCATTCTTATGTTTTCTTGGTAGAAAGACTGATAAAACATCCATCTCTATTCCTGTCTTATTACTTGATTTAATTAACATGAGAATTGAAAAACCAGCTCGTTTTCTCTTGACTTTAGATGTGCTCTGCTTAAAGACATTTATATTTAGTTTGCATGAAAAGCTAAATGTTTAATTCTGCTTCCTGAAAGAATCAGCCCTTAAGACCTCAAAGGTCAGTTGTTATAGTAGTTGAAATAATGAGTATTACTGGGAATTATACATCATAAAAATTTCCAAAACTAATATCCCAATACTTATATAATAACATTTGTGTGACTAAACATCAGAACATTATAACCATGTTGTAAGCATCTTTCTTATTTAAAATTAGAAAGTCATTAAATTACATATGTTTGAAATTATATGGAAAGAATTATGATGTATTATTAAATGGAAAAACTAGAAAAGTGACAACTGAACACTAGTTACCAAATAATTTTGTGATTTTTTGTTCTTTTTCAGTCTTTGTCAATTTTGCTAGCATAACCTCAAGTGACAAACTATTTAGAATCATACAATCTTACAATCCTTCTATTCAGTGTGTTACATGTTGCAAGGCAATCAAAAGCTCAAGAATGCATTTGAAGTCAGACTTCTCAGATAAGTTTCTACATTGTAATAAGAAATTAAATATTACATAGTAATTATTGGTGTTGTGAATGGATTGGTAGCTCTTGGTGTAGTGAATGGTTCAGTTTCTAAAAGGATAATGCCTTCACCTTAATAGGAAAAAAAAATCTCTGTAGAGTGTGCATTACTCATCTAAATAAGGATTTAGAAATTGATTTCTGCCAGCTTTAAAGAAATGATTAAGAGAGAGAATATTTAATTACCACTAATTATACCAGTAAGCATAATGATGTATGGGTGAATAGGAAAACTTTACTGCTTTCATATTAAAAAGACATTAACTCATGACACATTTTGCATCTGATGATATAGTGCTTTATGTAAATATTGGAAAAAATAGCTTATTAGTTAAATTTTAATAAAGGTTTGGAGAACAAAAGGATCATTAACAATAATTATGAAAACTACAGAATAATTGAAAAGAGCATATGATTAAATATTGCATAAAACATAGGATAAAATGGTATATCTAAATCTTAAGTGCAATGTCATTTGTAAATGTCGGCATCTCTACCTGGCATTTGTTATACTGTTGTAAATGGTGTGAGATAGGTATACAAATGAAAATATCTATTGAGGTTTTGCCATATGTCCAGTATTTGTAGTCAGGCTTTTTTCCCAAAAGAATTACAGCTTTAATGTAATAAATGTAAAAGAAGAAGATAAGGAAAATACCTGCCTATATTTGAGGGAGAAAAAGAAGCAAAACTTCTCTGCCCTTTTCCTTCCAGTACTTCTCTGCAGGTCCTTGTACTGCCATGGACCTTGGAGCTACCTTATAACATCTGATTTATATTTGGTTTCTAGTATTTCACAAGTGCATTATAACTAGAAGCAGAGCCAAAATCTTATTAGTGGAGATGCTATGCAGTGAAATGTCAACACAGGGCATTCGTGTTTTACTTTTATTGCTTTAATAGATAGTACATTTTGTGACAACATGGTCTATTTGAATAATGTGACATTTAGGGGAAGTTTTAAAATTGATTTTATTCAATTGATATTAATGTTGGGTTAAGACCTGATATAATAAAGAAAATAGATGTGCCATTCTCTAGCTTTCTTTCAGAGTGAAGGAGTTTGAGCCAGGAGGCCAAGAAAAACTGAAAGGATCTTTATATTTAGCATTAATGCCATGCATTTGAGCTCACGTGTTTTCAGTGCATACTTAATGTGTTCATTTGAACAGAGCAATTGGTAGCTACCAATAAATTACAGCCTAGAGAGTAACAAGTCATGAATTCAGACAATTGCATCATAGTAGAAATGGATTGGGATTTCCGTATCCTATTACTTACAAGTGATTTAATGTATACAGAGTTATTCAAACACATTTCACACAATATATAACTTCAAGTTAAAAGTAATGTAAATATGCTTCTTGCAAAGTCTTGAGAAAAACTAAAAAAGGTTGAGACTAAAGAATTGAGAATTAGTTCCTGTTAGCTCTTTCTCATCATGTGCTTCATTAGTTTATCCTTTGAGTAGGCTAAGCCTTGAATCAAGCTATTCTTGTCTTTTTATCCCGGTATTACTCTCTATCCTACCATTTCCATACTCTTTAGCTATTAGCACGGACCGAATATTTTATACATTGTCATAAAGATGGAACACCTTGGTTTATATTTTTATGACATAGAGAGTAGCCATCTTAACTCACTGTGGAGAAGTTCAAAGTCTCTCTTCATTGTACAGAAAAATGAAAACTGGAAACAATATTACTCTAAATTATAGAATAATAATGTTATTATATTTGTAAATTATTAGAGAATTATAGAATTATAAATGATACAACAGAAGAAAAGGAAACAAATTTATCATGTGTAAATCATGTGAATAAAAGTTGTCACTTGGATACTGTTTAAATATTTACATATTAAAATGGAAACACAGGCTACTCAGAGCACAGACGCATTCTTGAGTTGAAGCAACACACTTCATACTCCCATTGCAAACGTGCTTCCCACTCAGCTGGGAAAGTCAACATCAGTATCTTAGGACATGTGTTTCCTTCTTTTTCCTCTCCAATACAGTATTTATTTGTATCACTTTTCCTCTCTTGTTTCTATTTTTTAAGAAGAAAGATTCTGCTCTCTAAGGATAATATTCCCTTCTTAGATCATTTACATTTCTTCTTGTCCTGTCTTCCAGGAAGTATAGTATAATATATAGTGGGGTAGAAGGTAGGGAACTGAGCTTCAGAGTCAGATAATCCTTCAAATATTAGCTGTGTTATACTGACAAAGGTATTTATTATTCCCATTTATAAATGGGGACAAAATATTAACCCATAGTGTTCAATTTTTACCTTGTACCTTAAGAATCCATTTTGGCTTAAAGTCATCTGAAAATGTTTTCTTGTATTATCGGCCATATCACCGATAAAAATCTTTAAAGGTTCAGGCCAAAGATTGAGGTAAGTGACTAGCAACTGGGTTTTTCCCTGGAAATGGAAAATCATTCATTGGTGGGAGCAGTATTAGGAATTGCTGCGATAATTTCACAGAATGGTGACTATAATCAATAATAATGAATTGTATGTCTCAAAATTCCACATTCAAAAGCATTTGGAGTGATGGATTTGTTAATCAGATTGATTTAATTACTTCACATTGTAAACATACAGAAAACATCACATTATATCCCATAAATAAACATAATTATTTGTCATTTAAAAATAAAATTTTAAAAATAAAAGAAAATTTTGTCTAATTCCAGAGGCTATCATATTTAAAAGTACTATCAACCCTATGATATTCCCTTTTGTATGCTAGTCTAAATTATCAGGTCAGCTCAGTAGAGAGTAAATATACTAATATACTAATAACAAGAAAATTAATAAATGAAACAAGATGTTAGAAGCTGGCTGTAACATTTTTAAAATTATTTTTTAAAGACTATTATGAACTACCTTGTAAGAGTAAACCCAAGGCAACAAAATAGTTACTGGAAATAGGCAAAAGAGAGGTGAGCCCAGCATTTAGCACCATATTTTGCTTTAAGGTGTTTTCCCAAACTGTGCCTAAATGGTGGTTTTCATTAGTTTTTGGGTTTGCAATGGAGTTGCAAGAAGCACACACACATACACACACACACACAAGCAAAGCAATGAAAAAATGGAGCAAGGAGAGCTTTGCTTGTACGTTTTGTCCAATTCTTTGTTCAAAACACCAAGAACCTGGATGACTTACAGTCAAGACCCTCCACTAGTAACAATGGGAGCTGCTGAGTTCAACCTATGTTGTTCTTGTCTAGTTTTTTTTTTTTCTTATTTCTTCTACAATACTGAGAAGTATATAGGATAATTTCCAATAATATGGATTTTTCCCATCTTTTGTTACTAATTTATAGCTCAATAGCAACATGTTCATGCTTTATGCTCTGTAGGATTTAAGTCCTTTCAAATTATTGAAACTTTTTTTTGTGTCTTGTATATGTTTAGGGTCTCTCTCTCTCTCTCTCTCTCTCTGTGTGTGTGTGTGTGTGTGTGTGTGTGTGTGTGTGTGTGTGTGTGTTGCAACTCCATTGCATTCCAGGTTCAAGGCTGCACGGAAATGTAGAGAGCAGAGATTTGAGGCAGTTTAGGGCATGAATGGTGAGGTCCCATGAGCACCTTTCTGAAAACTTTGCCCTCAAGAGCCTACCTTTCTTGGAAAATTTTTGAAATGCCTTTGGTGTCATTCTCCCATTGTCTTAATGAATAGAACATGACTTCCTTCCATCCATATTAATCTCTTAGCAAACAGATGCTTGGCCATACCCTTAGTATTCTCTCAAACAGTTTTAAAATTCTTTATATGGCCAGGGTGAGAATTTTCCAAATTGCTTCCCTTTTAATTTATAAATTCCATCTTTAAATTCTCACCTCTCACTTTTTACTATATCCAGTTAAAAGAAGCCACACAGCTGCTTCAATATTTTGCTGAGAAATTTCTTTCTCCAGATAGTTTAGTTCATCACTCTTAAATTCTGCCTTTCATAAAGCCTTTGGGGATAGATACAATTTAGCCAAATTATTTGCCACTTTGTAACAAAAATGGTCTTTCTTCACTCCATTTTTCAGTAAGATTTTCCTCATTTATCTCTAAGACCTTTTTGGAATGGCCTTTCCTGTCCACATTTCTACCAATATTCTGATAACAATGACTTAAGTAATCTCTAAGATGATTCAGAATTTCCCTACAGCTGTTCTCTTCTGAACTCTCACCAGAATCCCCATTAGTGCCTCATTCATGGAAATAGAGGCTTTTTGCAGCCTGCTTCTCCAAGCCCTTTCAGTCTCTGCCCATTACCCAGCTCCAAAGTTGCTTCCATATTTTCAGGTATTTGTTATAGCAGCGCCCCACTTCTCCAGTACCAATTTGTCTTAGTCCATTTTGTGCTGCTGTTAGAGAATACCTCAGACCCTGGATAATTTACAGTGAACCAAAACTTACTGGCTTATGGTTCTGGAGGGTGAGAAATTCAAGATCAAGGGGCCAGCACCTGGCAAGGGGCTTCTTGCTACATCATCCCCAAAGGTGAAGGTGAAAGGGCAAAGAGAAGGTGAAAGAGAAAGCAAGAGGGGACTGAACTTGCTGTTTTATAACAAACCCACCCCCGTAATAACGAACACACTCCCTTAACAATAGCATTAATCCATTTATTGGGATAAAACCCTCATAGCCTAATTGCCTCTCATTAGTCCCCACCTCCCAGCACTGTTACATTGGGGATTAAGTTTCCAGTGCATATTTTTTAGGGGACGCATTTAAAGCATAACTGGGTTCTTCTCACCCCTATTTTCAACTTCTTTTTTCTTTATCTTTGTTTTTAGCCGTTTGATTCTAAGATGTTTGAGTGTGATTATCTTCCAGTTGATACGGATTAGAGTTCACTTTATTTCTTAGATTTTTAGATTTTTAAATCTAAGTATTTTACTCTGAATGGGAAGATTTTAAGGATAATTTATTTATCACCTGATTTTCTGGCTAGAGGAAGATGCTCTCTTCTGGAGCTTTTTCTAACTACATCCATTCAGACTTCCAGGATTTAAGTTTACTTAAAGCCCCATATAGGATATAGGAAGCAAAAAAAATAAGACAAAACAGAAAACATCGGAGAATTCACTGCTGAGTCATCCCTCAGGTCCTGTGTTCCCTAGCCAGTCTATTTGCTGTTACGTACCTTTCAGAGTCTTCTGATGGAAGCTATGTATATTATCTCCAAGTCTTATAATCAAAGGGAGAGATTGGGTGGAATGTGCTTATTTCACTGTAGTTGGAAACTAAGTTAACTTTTAATGACACTAACTTAGCATCTTAAGTTTCAAATATCATTAGCAGAAATAACATTTTTGGCGTTTTCCCATAAATTAAATGTCATTTTAGTTTTAAGAAATGAAGACACAAATTATTTGATTCTTACTAATGATAGTGTAATTAAAAACATCAGTGACCAGACATCTATTTTCAAACATAGAAAGAAAAACACAATTTTTTTTTTTTGTTAAATAAAAAACTTAATGACACGGAGCACTGCAAAAACAGAAGTTTGGTTTTTGAAGGTTCAATTTTGCTTTTTGTGTCCTCCCACCAAAACTTTATTTCTACAAATATCAGAGCTATTTTTTCTTTGCTAAAATTGAGTCTTTTATTGCTTTAGCTTCATGCAATTTTGCTTCCTTTCTTCTGCACAATTCATTTCTTTCTCGGAGTTCTAATAAGCATACATGTAAACTTCAAATAAAATATTGCCTAGCTTAAAAACAACTAATCAAACATACGTTCTTTTTTAATATAATGTTTCCTCCATACATCCTGGCTATTATTTTACCTCCCTAGTCTTCATAGCAAGGCTTTTTTTGTTTTTAAGATTTTGCTAGATTATATACTCTTTATTATCTTCCAGTTTTTCTTTAACCTGTTCTCAATCATTACCACTTCAGAATTTTCTCATAATAATTTCCATCCTGTACATCCATGAGAAAATGTCTTCCTTAATTTTATTTGACTCAGCAGCCCTCTACAATACTGAACATTCTGTTCTTTGTATTTCTTTTCTTGGCTTCTGCCATACCACACTGTCCGGGTTTTTCATTCTGTTTCATTGGCTGATCTTTCTCAGAATCCTTGGTTACTCCTCATTATACAGTTTCCAAATCTTAGTAAAACCTGGGACTTGATCCTGAGACTTCCTTTTCTTCACATTCTTCTTAATTTCATGCTTTTTAAAATTAAGTCATGTCTCTAATAACATATTTTATGGATTCCACATTGCCTAGAATATGGCAAACTGCATTCTGTGAACTGGCTTACTCTTTTTTTGTAAATAAAGTTTTATTGGAATACATTCACACTTGTTCATTTACACATTGTCACACTGCTTTGACTACAGTACAGAATTGGGTAGTTCTGACAGAGGCCAAATTAAAATATTTACTATCTGACCCTATAAGAAGAAAACTCCCAACCCCTAGAATAGAATAAAAAATTTTTAGCAGGATATAGGCTTTTCATGACCTGTTTCTTAACACTCTTCTGAGATTTATCTCACAGTTATATTTTTAGTCTAATAGTGCCAAAGAACTTGTGGTTCCTTGAATGTTTTACATCTTTGTGCTTATAACTTTTTGAGTATCATATGCTTTCAGAAACTGTAATCACTCAGAAAATTATATTTTTACCCTTCAAAACACAATGGATAAGGCACCTTAATTTCAGGACTTAAAAAAAAAATCGCAAATGATTCTTACTATTTATGTGCTATCACGTAAACTGTTCTAATATTGTATATAGCTCACTGTATTTTAATTACTCGATTTCACTCAACTTTTTGAAATTTCAAAAAAAGGTAAAAAGGAAATTAAAAATTCTCCCAAATATTACTATTTTCATTTTGACATATATAAAGTACAAATTATTCTTCCCATTTCAGCCCTTTGATTTGGTATATATCTCTTTCTATACTTTTTTTTTCTCATGGAAAAATGATATAGGCACAGATATATAACAAAATAGGATAGTATCATACAGTTTTTAAATCAGATTTAAAAATACATACTCTTAATTCACTTCTGTGGTACCTACATATCTTTATTTTGTAAAATAGTGACACTGTATTTCCTGGTGGAGATGTTTATAATAAATTATTTAACCAGCTCTATATGATGGATATTTAGGTAATATCTTTTTTTTTTGCTATTATACACGCTCATAAAAAACTTTGTTCATTTATCTTTATTCCTGCTAGAACTTTTGTAGCCATTTTTCTTGAAATGAAGCTACAAAATTATTCTGTAAGAATTTTTTATCTTATACTTACCTCATAGATTTGGACTGGAGACAAATATGTGTCCTTTGCTTTATGTCTAAACAGTATCAGGTTAAATTTTGGTCCAGAATAAAATGTATGTGAATACTTTTTCTTATGTCATTGTCAGCAATGGATGTAACTAATCTTTCAAAGTTGACAATTTTATGATTCATGTTTTCAAACTTTTTTTAGTATGTTTAATTGCCTTTTATATACGTTTTTATTAATTGTAGATCTTTATTAAGTTTACATTTGTCTATTTGGTTGTTATATTCATATTTATATATAGGACTTCTTAATTTAGTAGATAAATAACCATTTGGTCTGTTTATACTCTTCAAATGCTTTTTCCCAGTTTATATTTTATCAGTAGACGTTATTCATAATTACTCTTATTTTGTCTTTGGAAATGATGCATGACTTGATTTCTTTTCAAGGGCTTTACTCAAAGAATATAAACCTTATTTTTCTAATTTTCTTATATAATGCTTGGATCCTTTATCCATTTGAAATTTGTTTTTGTATATGCTAGGTGGTAGTATATACTTTCATAACTAAATTGAAATACCCCAATTTTTATATATCTGATTTTACTTCTGTATGCTATTAGGTTGTAATTTTCTATTTGTCGATTATGTTCCTATATCAAACAATTTTAATTATAGTAGCTTTATTTTTTTAGACATCTATTCCTTTTTTTTGTTTTGTTTTGTTTTTTTTGAGACAGAGTCTCGCTCTGTCGTCCAGGCTGGAGTGCAGCAGCACGATCTCGGCTCACTGCAACCTCCGCCTCCCGGGTTCAAGCAATTCTCCTGCCTCAGCCTCCCAAGTAGCTGGGACTACAGGCATCTGCCACCATGCCCGGCTAAGTTTCTTGTATTTTTAGTAGAGACGGGATTTCACCATGTTAGCCAGGATGGTCTCGATCTCCTGACCTCGTGATCTGCCCGCCTCAGCCTCCCAAAGTGCTGGGATTACAGGCGTGAGCCACCACACCTGGCCCGAAGGGATCCTTTGACCTAAATCCTAACCCCATTACAGCCTCTGAGTCTTCTCGTCTTGTGGAACACAGAAGTCTGCCAAAGCTAGAGCAGGATTTTGGTTTTCGTTTGTTTTGTATTCCTTGTTTTCTTGCTTTATAGAAGAGCTCATGGCTAGGATGGGTGATTTTAGTACTAGACATTATCAGCATTTCTCATTTATGTTGCTAATTAGTAAGCATCCCTACCAAAGTCTATTTCAATGCAAGTAACCTGTAGTTATATCCTCCGAGTGATTTTGTCATGTGGAGACCCTTGTACTTTTCTGATCCCAGCAAGCTCACATGGGAACTGTGGTTCAGGGAAGGGTAAGGAGGGTGGTGGGGAAGGGGAGGCTCCCACATGTCCTCAGGCACATATTACAGAAATAGGAACATAGGGATCATGATGGGAATTTGAAACTTGTTGATTGTAGTGAGCAAATCATGTAAGAAGGAGATACTTGAATGGCAAATGGAATGTAATGGTTCTTCCCATTATATATTGATAAGATTTGGATCTGTGTCCCAGCCCAAATCTCATGTTGAATTGTAATCCCCACTGTTGGAGGTGGGTCTCCGTGGGAAGTGATTGGAACATAGGGGTGGATTTCCCCCTCCATGCCGCTCTTGTGACAGTGAGTGTATTCTCATGAGATCTGGTTGTTTAAAAGTGTGTAGCACCTCCACACCTCTCTCTTTCTCCTGCTCCTGTGTAAAGTGCTGGCTCCCCCTTCACTTTCTGCCGTGATTGTAAGTTTGTGGAGGTCTCCTCAGAAGTCAGGCAGATGAGTCTTTTACAGCCTGTGGAACCGTGAGCCAGTTAAACCTCTTTTCTTTGTAAGTTACCCAGTCTCAAGTATTTATACCAATGCAAGAACAGAGTAATACATATATCTAGAAAATGTGGACTCTTAAAAATTACTCCTCATTAGGTAGTAACAAATAACATGAATTGCAAATAAGAGGATAATATGAAAATATCTTTGTTTTTATAGGTTGCTGTTTCATAATAGAAAATCCCTACATGCAGATTCTGAAATCAGTTCATTTATTTAAATCCTTTTCTGGGCAGATCAAGAAAGCTAAACTCCTTTTTAAAAATATAGACATTAGAGTTACATTTGCAAAGATAACAGCCTTGGATCTCTTCTATGCTTATATAATACATAATCTTGCTTTGTATTTGAATATGAAAGAGCTATTTTATTTTTGTTGGCTTATGTGTGGTCTTTATGAACCATGCTCAAGCACACTACCTTTAGAAATATTTGGTTTGGCCTTCAAAAAGACATAGAGGCTCTATGAGGTCTACTGGGAGTTTGGGAGCTGACCTATCACTTGATGTAAACTATTGTTTCCAGGGCGCCCACAGAAACAATTTAGAGCCCAATTCCCTGGAGCTTCACTGCTGTGAGATAAGTATGTGATTTCTCCTTTGTTTCTGAACAATGTCCAAGTAACTTTCTATGTAGAGCAATGCCAGGGCATGCCATCTACTATGCCTTGCCAAAGGTGATATTTTTGGGGAGACATGGAACATGTTGTACAGTCATTTGTAGCTTCACATTTTAACTAAGTGTAGAAGGAGAACTACCTGTTACTTCTAGCAAAAATATTTTCCCAGGGATCATGATAAATGAATAATCTGTTTCTAACTCCACCCTTTTATGGCTTATACCTTACTTGTTAATGCCCTTGGGACATGTTTTCCATGAACCAGAGTCTTTTACAACTTATTATATATTTCCAGGTATAAAGTTAGCTGCTAAAGCCACCTTTTTGAGAAAGAGATTGGTGACAAAGAATACTATAGGAATATCATGCAGCAACTTATATATGAAATAAAAAGAGAAAGTTATAAGTTGTAATCCTCTAAATATATTAATAGGCACGTTTAGTAAGGATGTAAGGCATAATGATATTCCTCTGAGATAAAGAAATCCAGGGTGGAGTTGTGAATGAAGCTGGAGAGGAGAAAGGAGAGTCAGAAAGAAGGTAGAGCTCTAGAGATAAATGAAAATGGTGAGTAGGAGTTCAGCAATGCTTAGTGTATGTGACTAGGTAAGTAGGAAAGAAATTACACTGCAGAAATGATTTCTTATCCTCCAGTATAAATATGGTCTGAGTAATGTTTCTTAGGCAGTAATAAGATGACTGTAAATAAATTGAAAATACAAAATGAAGATAAGATTAAGCATAAGTAAAAAAATAAAGCCTCAAATCAGCAACATTGAGCCTAATAGGATGACGGGAGTCAATCATCTGATTGTTTATTTTGGGGCTCAAAGTCTTATTTGGCAAACCTACATCCTTTCCATTCTGATTGTCACCTTTATTCACTATACTCAGCCAGTGATGGCAGGGATGGGCACCTGCATCTCTAAACTAGTTAGTAAGTTTCCTAACATGTCATGATTAACATTTGAATAAAGTTCTTTCATTTAAAATGCAATTTGACTAGTTGATCCTAATATACCCTTCCCACATTTTTTTAGCCAATATTTACCTGTAAAAATCTAAGGATGGAAGGGAAGAAGAAAGGTAGAAACACAGGAAAGAAGGGAAAGTCACATCATCATAGAACACATAGGCTGTCTGAGAGTCAGCCTACTGCATTCCTGAGAGGAATATCCACTAGCCATGAGGTACTTGGGGCTACATTGAGAAAACTGCCTATGATGTAACCATCTAGCAATGTTTTGATTTATGAAATAGAATTGATATTTCTATTTGAAAGACAATAGGAAGATAGTGATTCTGCCATCACAGCCACTGAGTACCCTACTAACTTGTCAGAGGACCGGACAGGTGCAGGAGAAATCACAAGTCCTGCACAGTCAAGACTCTGTGAAGGAATGGCATTGGAAAGTGTAATTATCAGTCTCTTGCCCCATTGTGTAATGAAAAGTTCAACCCGGGCCTGGGACCTACCTGGCCATTGATCAAAGCCAAAAATTGATGTTAATGTTACATAGCCCCCACCTTGTTGACAACGAGAAAAGTAATGGATCCCAATACCATGGAGCTTAAAAGCATGTATTACAGAACAAAGTGGAATAATTAGAATCTGTGAGACTTGGAGAAATATAAACTTTCATAAATGATATTCTATAGAACACATTAGAAAACAATTTGACAATCCTGATAGGATGCTGGAGACATAGCATGGCCTCAAATTGAGAAGGATAGAAAGCCATATAGTGGCAAAAATATAACAACATGAAAATGAGCGATGAGAGAGTAAAGCAAGTCAACTTGTGAAAGAGAAATTGGAGAGCTTAACTGGTGGGGACCCTGGGAGAGGTGACACCACCAAATTTCCTTTGAGATTTGGTGGTAATTTACTTGAAAATAAATTTACTTGAAAATAAACAGGACTTTTTCTTGTTGTTTTGATTTCTTCTTAGTCACAATGTTTCCTTTATTTTTAAATTTAAAATAACATTAAAATATCTCTGGACCACAGACTTATCTTGTTTAATACAGTATTCCCAATTCCCAGCACCATGACTAGATACTGTAAGTATCCTGCAACTATCTATTGAATTAATCAATGGATGATGATTTTTACACTATCAAAATAGGCCTGAAGCAATAACTCCACAGCTGGTCAGTCTGAGTCCATCTCTAATCTCCATACTCATTAGCTATGGCCAGTGACCTCTTATGCATCAGTTTTCACATTTGTAAACAGGGATAATAATAATATCTTTTAAGTATGTTATGAGATTTACAGGGATAAGGTGTGTAAAGTGTTTGTTCTAATAATAAGTGCAGAATAAATGTTAGCAATTGTCATTATATTAAAACAGCAAAAAAAAACTAGGTATAAAAATGAAGGTGATGTGATACTCTTACCAAAACAAAGGAAATTCCCCTCCCTGAACAGGCTTTGGTGAGATATTTATATATATTTAGAAAATTAAAACAATTAAAAATGGCAAAAAAAATGGAGTTTGCAATAAAGAAACAATGATGTGGAAAGGAAGCTCAAACGTCTACTCTGTGAATTTAAGTGCCAGGAGAAAAAGGAACAGTAAATCCAAGGTTCAGGGGAAATAGTTACAACCCAAGTATTTAATCCATAGGAAAATGACAGTCATAGATGAAGAGAAAGATGTTGTATCATATGCAATGAAATAAGAAAAATTATCCAATACCTGCAAATAACCAAAACGATTCCTGTGTGACCCTTCAGTAGACTGCCAAACATAGTCTAGAGGGCCCTCCTGGAATCGCCTAACTATACAAGAGTATGCTCTTTAATTGACTAGTTTCTTTAACAACTCTGTAGGACTAGATACCAACCTGTAGAAAACTGGTGACAATGAAGTGATTCACTTGAAAATTATACTTTCTGAAAGTGGTTATAAAATATTTTGGAGCATATGCTTTTTTGCACATAATAATTTTGTAAAAGTTTATACTGATTTCATATTGCCCTTAGAATTTTATTCTAGGCATGATTTTCATTATAGATACGGATTACATGGCTATTCATGACCCTGGTCTCTGCTTAATTTTTCATCTTCTTTATCTTTCATTTTGAATTCTTCTTCTCTTACTACTCCTTGCCTTGCATTTAACATCACAGACAGTAGATCAGGCCATAACTTTTTCTCACCTTCTCACCTCTGTGTATTTTCATTTGTTGTGTCCTTTTTCAGACCAGCATCATCTACCCTCTCCATGAGGCATGCAAACATACCACCCTTCTCCTGAGTAACTCGTACTTATTGTTTAAATATCAGCTTTTCCTCATTGTTCAGGATCTTTAAACTCCATTCTCTGGATTTGTGTCCCTATGGTCTAGCCTTGGTAACCTGTGGATCAAGAGTCTAGATATTGGTTAGCTGGCTCTTCCACTCCAGGATCTCTCAGAAGGTTGCAATCAAGGTGTCAGTAACAGCTGGGATTTCACTGAAAAGCTAAAATGGGGAAGGATCCATGTATAAGCTCACACCATTGTCAATAGCACGTGACCCTCTCTAACATGGCCGCTTGCTTCATCAAAGCGTATGGGCTGAGGAGACGACAACAGAGTGAGTTTATTAGCCAAACGGAAGTTACAATCTTATGCAGTATAATCATGCATTCTGTTGATTAGAAGAACATCACAGGTCCATTCACACTCAAGAGGAAGAATTACACAAGGTGGGGAACATTGGGACCATTTTGGAATAAGCCTGCCACTGTAGTGCCTGGGACAGCTGTAGAATAAGGTACTGAAAAGATGGATGATAAAAAATTCATTAATGAATATATGATTTATATAGAGACTATCTTACAGAAATATGCAGAAAATCCCTTCCCTTGAGCATAAGATAATAGATGAATTTGCTTCACTTTATTCATATTTTTTTCACTTTGAATAGATTCTCTTACTTTCTTATTCTTCCTCACTAGTTTTCAAAATATTTTCATAAAACATGGTCAGTTAAGCTAAAAATCAAAACAATTGAAATAGATATTAATTGATTCATTAAAACCCTACTTTACATAATTTTCTTTAAAATACACACAGGCTTCTGTATTTTTTCTAATATTTTGAAATCTACATTACAAATGCAACATGGATCCAGAGCAATGTGAGCATCGCCACAGATATGCAAAATCCATTTAAAGGATTTCATCATATATTTGCCTCAACCTCTTGAAATATAACTTTAATGATACACACTAAAACTACTTAATGCAATGAAATTGACTTCGTTGAATTTTATAACAGGACATAATTTTGACTTTCAATGAAAAAATAAACAAGATAATATCCTTGCAAACTTTGTCTAAACAATAAGTCAGAATTGGGGAGTAATTCTATAATAAAATAAAACACAATTACATTCTGTTTTATTTGTGATTTCTTCTATTAGACATCTGAACATTTCTTTCACCCATAATTTTGGATTCTCTAAAGTAATAGAAGAAGGGCCAAACCAAGCTGCAGGAAATGGTTACATAAATATACTTAATGATCCTTGCCGAATATATAGTACCTAATATTATAGGACAGTATTTCTGGGGCATGTATCCATCGTTACCAAGGATAAATAAAGCCTTTTCAAAATTGTATTCTATATGGGTTAATGTCTGCAAAGGTTAAAAACATCAAATTCTGGAATATCATGACCTGATATTAGTGACCCAGTAATAGGTTGACATTTGCAATTCTTTGTTGGGGGTAATAGCCCACCATATGCAAAGATCACCTTCTGCATTTAGCTGCTTATTTCAAAGGAAAACATATGAGTGATAATAGTGCAAGGGAGGTTAATAACAGGTACAGGCCTAGCATAGCTTTTATCAGTTCATTTAGAAAATGAACTGAGAATTGCTGTCAACTTGATTGGGAAGAGGAAAGAAAGAACGGACCCATATGGGAGGCATCAGTCAGCTTCCAGTGTGTGTGTGAAGGTTGTTTGCAAGGTTACTTGGGCTGATACAACATAAAGCTGGAATTTGCATGTCAAATTTTGTTCCTTTTGTAACATACTGTCACACAAATCACTGGCCCTGGGGTTTAAATTTCACAGATGTCTAAACTCATTTAAAAATTAAACTGCAATAATTTGTGATCCACAGTGCACCTAATCTTTCTGATTTTCTCAGAATGGTTTGTTTTGCCATTATACTTTCTTCTTACCATCTAAAATTCTAATTCTTCATAGACTATCTCAGTTTTTCCTTCAAAAGCTAATGTATTCTTTGACGAGACTATTATTCTTTGAGGCCATTGTATTATTATTACAGTTAAAAGATTCAAAAAACACAATATTTACTCATAGTTGGAATCACAAACAAAAATAATTCAGGATTAAGGTGACCATTACATTTTCCTGGGCTTCTGGAAAAGTAAAAATGTGATTCATGAGTGCTAGCTTTATTACCTTCTTATTTATTACATTGTTATTATTTCAACTACCTAGCAATTTTCAGAACACTTTGCAAGGAACATTTACACTATGTTTTGCTCTATGAATTATTTCATCAGAATTAAGAGCCTTTTATTACTATACAATATCCTAAGATGCAATGATCCAATAGATGTATAATGACCTGCTATAGATTTTATTAACATTGCCAAACATTAATATCTTTCCTCAGTGGAATTGAAAGCATTGCATGATAAAATTTTAGTATAAATTTTACAGGAAAGAATTTCAAATGATGATGCAAGTAGAATTTTACTCATCCAGAGGAGGTATATATTAGTCATGTTACTTTAGTACACTGGAAATATGAAAAGTAAACATTACTTTTAGTCTCTCTCTCTTTTTTTTTCTTTACTTTATATTTACAGGAAATGCTAAAGCAACATTCTGTTGCTTACAACATTCACATAGGTTCCAATTATGCCTGGTTAATTCAATGATACAAATTTTGCCTTATTTCTTACCATTATTATTATTATTAAGTAATATAACATTGAAATAGTTTCACAATTCTGTTTCATATTTTCTTCAAGATTGTAGGGAATTGACACCCACCATGGGTCTGGGAACATGTAACACCTTGAGCGTTTTTGAGAAGCAGAGAAGAAGGGAAAGTCTAAGATTGTGCTGAGGTTTCTGGGGGAAAATCCATACATTTTCAAGTATGTTACAGGCCATATTCTTCGTTTTATGTACATTCTAAGGTAACAACAATTCAGTTAGAATTATTTAAAAGAAAGGCACTTGCATTTATTGCATAATTACAGCAATGAGTATGTTCAAGGATGGTCAACAATTAGGATAGCTTGTAATTAGTGGAAGGTAATATTATACATCACTTATTATTTTACCCAAGTGCAGAAAACATCTCAAGTTCAAGAGTATATGTAAATTGATGATGCATTTCCTCCTCTGCTGCTAATAAAAAGATCAATAGAATAAGAATATATTAAAATTTAATACTAAGCATTTTTTTACTTTGTTTTTTATCGTTGCTGTTGGCCCCTGTAAAATTAAATGGTTGACAGTTTTTACATTCAAAATCTGAAGTTGTTAAAAATTTTGATCACAAAAATGGCACTGCAGACAACTTGTTTCTACTTCTCTAGTAGAAACAAGTTCTACATTAATATGTGAAAAAGTGTTAATTCAATCAATATGTAGTCCATGAACATCTGTTAGGCATAGAAATATGATGGGCAGTAAGGTCTAACTCCTGGCTTGATGGTATTTAGATACTAGAAAAATATAGTCATATATACTTAATTTACTATGGTCTCTATATTCTATTTGATTAAAACTAATTATATAGTAAACAAGTAGATCCTCAATAAACAATAATGAAAAGTTTTTATTTAAGAATCTGGAATTTTAGGCTATTACTCTCTGGAGTTAACCAAAGATCCTAGCACTCTCAAGAAAGATTGAGAAATGCAAATATTAGTTTTAATTTTTAAACTATAAAAATATATACATATACAAATATTACTTAACATTAGTATAAAGAAAGTTTGCCTTTTGGTAAACAAAGTGTGGTCTACATATTTAAAATTTTAATGTTTTTATTAAACCTTTTTAGATATTCAAACTACTTTTGTTTGCAGACACATTTAAAGCAGTAATTGCCAACTTAAAGACCGTAACCACTTTGATAATAAATCTATATATGCAGCAAGAAGTGCTTCCAATCTGAATTTAAAATATACCTTACACTCATATATGAATATTTTCCTTGTGGATTGAGACATAGTTGTGACTAACAAAATAAATTAAAAATATTACTTGATTCTTACAGAGAATACAAATGCCACAAAGTTAGCATCAATATTTAAAAAGTCTAAAAGACAACTTCTATAATTTGGGATGGGCAATGTACCTTTTATGATTATTTTCACATTCCCACTTATTTATTTTTTCTTTTGTTGTTCATGCTTTTGGTGTCAAGAATCCATTGCCTGATCATGAAGATTTACCCTGTGATTTCTTTCAATAGTTTTATACTTTTAGACCTTCATTTAGGCTATGGTGCATTTTGAGTTAAATTTTGTGTTGGGTGTGAGGAAGGGGTTCAACTTTATTCTTTAGAATATGTTTTTCCAGTTATCCCACCACTATTTGTTAGAGATCACTCCTCCCCCCGTTGACTTGTCTTGATACTCTTGTCAAAAATCAATTAGTCATGGATGCTTGGGTTTATTTCTGGACTCTCAATTCTATTCCATTGGTCTATATGTCTATCCTTCTGCTAGTACTACATTTGACTACTGAAACTTTCTAATAAGTTTTGAAATTGGGAAATTTGAGTCTTAAATCATTTTTTTTTCTTTCAGTGTTGTCTTAACTATTAAGGGCCCCTTGTGATTCCACATGAATTTGAAAATCAGATTTCCCATTTCTGCAAGAAGGGCCATTGGGATTTTGATTGAGTTGCACTGAATCTTCTGATTACTTTGGAAAGTTTTGTTCTATTAACAATAATAAGTATTTTGATTACCAATACAGGCTATATTTCCATTTATTTGGGCCTTCTTTAATTTCTTTCAGTAATGTTTTGTAATTCTTAGTGTGCATACCTTGCACTTCCTCATCTTACTTCTTCCTATGTATTGTTTCCGCTTTGGATGCTATCATAAATGGAATTTTCTTAATTTCTGTGTTTGATTGTTCATTGCCATTGTATATAAACACAATTAAGTTTTTTATATTCATCTTGTGCACTGAAAAATTACTGGATTTGTTAAATATTGTTTAATATAGAAAATCATGTCATCTGCAATAGAGATAGTTTTTACTTCTTTTCTAATATGTCTGTTATTTCTTTTTCTTATTTTATTACTCCTGATAAGACTTTAAGTACAATGTTAAATAGTGTGATGAATCTCTGTCTTTTGTCTTGTTCCTGACCCTAAAAGCAAAGCTTTCAGTCCTTCACCATTGAGTAGGCTGGGTATTTTTTTATTATTATTATTATGAAAGGGTATTGAATTTTATCTTATTGCTTTATTTGTATCTGCTGAGATGGTCATGAGTTTTCCTTGGTTCTAAAAATACATTGTGTTACATTGATTACTTTTCTTACATTGAAATAAGCTTGCATTTCTAGAATAAATTCCACTTTGCTATGGTATATAATTTATTCAGTATGCTTATTTGGTTTTCAAGTATTTTGTTGAGCATTTTTGCATCTACATTCATAAGAAATATTTTTCTGTAGTTTTCTTATGGTATCTGATTTTGATATCGGTCGAATTCTGGCTTCATAGAACGTGTTGAGAAGTATTTCCTCTATTTTATTTTTATTTTTGGCAGAAGTTTGGGTAGAATTTGTGTTAATTCTTTAAATATTTGATAGAATTCACCAGAGAAGTTTATCTAATTGTGGCCTTCTTGTTGATGGTAGGTTTTTGATTATTCAGTTTTTCTACTGATATTTCTCTTGAGATAATTTTTTTCTACATTTGATAATGTGTATTTCTAGAAAATTTTCCAATTTGTCTAGATTATCTAATTTGTTGTCATATAATTATTCTCTTGCAATTCTTGTAATTGCTATAATATTCGTAGTTCTATTTCTGATTTTAGTTGTTTTTGTCTTCTGTCTTCTTAGTATAAGGATTTATCAATTTTGCTGATCTTTTCAAAGAAACAACTTTGGTTTTGTATGTAGCCTCTATTTTTCTACTTTATCTTTGATTTATCTCTTCTCTAAACTCTATTAGTTCCTTCCTTTTGCTGGATTTAGGTTTAGTTTGCTTTGCTTTTTCTAGTTTGCTAAAGCATTAAGTTATGTTGTCAATATCGGATCCTGTCTTTTTAAATGTAGGCATTTATAGCTGTAAGTTTCCCTTCAAGCACTACTTTTGCTATATCCCATAAGTTTCGTTATGTTGTTTCCATTTTTATTTATCTCAAATGATTTATTTGTTCTTTGATCTTATTATGAACTAAAAATTTATTTGCTGAATTCCTAACTTCCAGTACCTCAGAGTATGACTGTATTAGAAGACTGAGTCTTTAAAGGGGCAGTTAAGGTAAAATTAAATCATATGGTTGGTCCCTATTTTAATATGACTAGTATTCTTATAAGAAAATATGACGGGGTGCGGGGGGCGGTTGCAAGATGGCCTAATAGGAACAGCTCCAGTCTATAGCTCCCAGTGTGAGTGACACAGAAGACGGGTAATTTCTGCATTTCCAACTGAGGTACCGGGTTCATCTCACTGGGGCTTGTCGGACAGTGGGGGCAGGACAATGGGTGCAGCCCAGCAAGCCTAAGCCAAAGCAGGGCAAGGCATCGCCTCACCCAGGAAGTGCGAGGGGTCAGGGAATTCCCTTTCCCAGTCAAGGGAGGCGGTGACAGACAGCACCTGGAAAATTGGGTCACTCCCACACTAATACTGCGCTTTTCCAATGGTCTTAGCAAATGGCACACTGGGAGATAATATCCCGTGCCTGGCTCAGAGGGTCCCACGCCCACGGAGCCTCGCTCATTGCTAGTAAGGCAGTCTGAGATGGAACTACAAGGCGTCAGCAAGGCTGGGGTAGGGGAGCCTGCCATTGCTGAGGCTTCAGTAGGTAAACAGAGCAGCCAGGAAGCTCGAACTGGGTGGAGCCCACCACAGCTCAAGGAGGCTTGCCTGCCTCTGTAGACTCCACCTCTGGGGGCAGGGCATAGCAGAACAAAAGGCAACAGAAACCTCTGCAGAAGTAAATGTCCCTGTCTGACAGCTTTGAAGAGAGTAGTGGTTCTCCCAGCACAGAGTTTGAGATCTGAGAACAGACAGACTGCCTCCTCAAGTGGGTCCCTGACCACCGAGTAGCCTAACTGGGAGGTACACCCCAGTAGGGGGAGACTGACACCTCACACGGCTGGGTACCCCTCTGAGACGAAGCTTGCAGAGGAAAGATCAGGCAGCAGCATTTGCTCTTCAGCAATATTCGCTGTTCTGCCACCTCTGCTGCTGATACCCAGGCAAACAGGGTCTGGAGTGGACCTCCAGCAAACTCCAACAGACCTGCAGCTGAGGGTCCTGACTGTTAGAAGGAAAACTAACCAACAGAAAGGACATCCACACCAAAACCCCATCTGTACATCAACATCAGCAACGACCAAAGGTAGATAAAACCGCAAAGATGGGGAGAAAACAGAGCAGAAAAGCTGAAAATTCTAAAAATCAGACCACCTCTTCTCCTCCAAAGGAATGCAGCTCCTTGCCAGCAATGTAACAAAGCTGTATGGAGAATGACTTTGACAGGTTGAGAGAAGAAGGCTTCAGACGATCAAACTTCTCTGAGCTAAAGGAGGAAGTTCAATCCCAACACAAAGAAGCTAAAAACCTTGAAAAAAGATTAGACAAATGGCTAACCAGAATAACGAGTGCAGAGAAGTCCTTAAATGACCTGATGGAGCTGAAAACCATGGCACGAGAACTATGTGACGAATGCACAAGCTTCAGTAGCCGATTCGATCAACTGGAAGAAAGGGTATCAGTAATTGAAGATCAAATGAATGAAATGAAGTGAGAAGAGAAGTTTAGAGAAAAAAGAGTAAAAAGAAATGAACAAAGCCTCCAAGAAATATGGGACTATGTGAAAAGACCAAATCTACATCTGATTGGTGTCCCTGAAAGTGACGGGGAGAATGGAACCAAGTTGGAAAACACTCTGCAGGATATTATTCAGGAGAACTTCCCCAACCTAGCAAGGCAGGCCAACATTCAAATTCAGGAAATACGGAGAACGCCACAAAGATACTCCTTGAGAAGAGCAACTCCAAGACACATAATTGTCAGATTCACCAAAGTTGAAATGAAGGAAAAAATGTTAAGGGCAGCAAGAGAGAAAGGTCGGATTACCCACAAAGGGAACCTCAACAGACTAACAGCGGATCTTTTGGCAGAAAATCTACAAGCCAGAAGAGAAGGGGGGCCAATATTCAACATTCTTAAAGAATTTTCAACCCAGAATTTCATATCCAGCCAAACTAAGCTTCATAAGTGAAGGAGAAATAAAATGCTTTACAGACAAGCAAATGCTGAGAGATTTTGTCACCACCAGGCCTGCCCTACAAGAGTTCAGGAAGGAAACACTAAACATGGAAAGGAACAAAAGATACCGGCCACTGCAATAACATGCCAAATTGTAAAGACCATCGATGCTAGGAAAAAACTACATCAACTAGTGAGCAAAATAACCAGCTAACATCATAATGACAGGATCAAATTCACACATAACAATATTAACCTCAAATGTAAATGGGCTAAATGCTCCAATTAAAAGACACAGACTGGCTAATTGGATAAAAGAGTCAAGACCCATCAGTGTGCTGTATTCAGGAGACCCATCTCACATGCAGAGACACACATAGGCTCAAAATAAAGGGATGGAGGAAGATCTACCAAGCAAATGGAAAACCAAAATGCAGTGGTTGCAATCCTGGTCTCTGATAAAACAGACTTTAAACCAATAAAGGTCAAAAGAGACAATGAAGGCCATTACATAATGGTAAAGGGATCAATTCAATAAGAAGAGCTAAATATCCTAAATATATATGCACCCAATACAGGAGTAACCAGATTCATAAAGCAAGTCCTTAGAGACCTACAAAGAGACTTAGACTCCCACACAATAATAATGTGAGACTTTAACACCCCACTGTCAACATGAGACAGATCAACAAGACAGAAAGTTAACAAAGATATCCAGGAATTAAACTCAGCTCTGCACCAAGGGGACCTAATAGACATCTTCAGAACTCTCCACCCCAAATCAACAGAATATACGTTCTTCTCAGCACCACATCACACTTATTCCAAAATTGACCACATAGTTGGAAGTAAAGCACTCCTCAGCAAATGTAAAAGAACAGAAATTATAACAAACTGTCTCTCAGACCACAGTGCAATCAGACTAGAACTCAGGATTAAGAAACTCCCTCAAAACCGCTCAACTACATGGAAACTGAACAACCTGCTCCTGAATGACTACTGGGTACATAACAAAATGAAGGCAGAAATAAAGATGTTCTTTGAAACCAATGAGAACAAAGACACAACATACCAGAATCTGTGGGACACATTTAAAGCAGTGTGTAGAGGGAAATTTTTAGCACTAAATGCCCACAAGAGAAAGCAGGAGAGATCTAAAATTGACACCCTAACATCACATTAAAAGAACTAGAGAAGCAAGAGCAAACACATTCAAAAGCTAGCAGAAGGCAAGAAATAACTAAGATCAGAGCAGAACTGAAGGAGATAGAGACACAAAAAACCCTTCAAAAAATCAATGAATCCAGGATCTGGTTTTTTGAAAAGATCAACAAAATTGATAGACCGCTAGCAAGACTAATAAAGAAGAAAAGAAGAATCAAATAGACACAATAAAAAATGATAAAGGGGATATCACCACTGATCCCACAGAAATACAAACTACCATCAGAGAATACTATGAAACACCTCTATGCAAATAAACTAGAAAATCTAGAAGAAATGGACAAATTCTTGGACACATACACCCTTCCAAGACTAAACCAGGAAGAAGTTGAATCCCTGAATAGACCAATAACAGGCTCTGAAATTGAGTCAATAATTAATAGCCTACCAACCAAAAAAAAGTCCAGGACCAGACGGATTCAGAGCCGAGTTCTACTAGAGGTACAAGGAGGAGCTGGTTCCATTCCTTCTGAAACTATTCCAATCATTAGAAAAAGAGGGAATCTTCCCTAACTCATTTTATGAGGCCAGCATCATCCTGATACCAAAGCCTGACAGAGGCATAACAAAAAAAAGAGAATTTTAGACCGATATCCCTGATGAACATCAATGCAAAAATCCTCAATAAAATGCTGACAAACCAAATCCAGCAGCACGTCAAAAAGCTTATCCACCATGATCAAGTGGGCTTCATCCCTGGGATGCAAGGCTGGTTCAACATACACAAATCAATAAACATAAACCAGCATATAAACAGAACCAAAGACAAAAAACACATGATTATCTCAATAGATGCAGAAAACGCCTCTGACAAAATTCAACAGCCCTTCATGCTAAAAACTCTGAACAAATTAGGTGTTGATGAGAAGTATCTCAAAATAATAAGAGCTATTTATGACAAACTCACAATCAATATCATACTGAATGGGCAAAAACTGGAAGCATTCCCTTTGAAACCCGGCACAAGACAGGGATGCCCTCTCTCACCACGCCTATTCAACGTAGTGTTGGAAGTTCTGGCCAGGGTAATCAGGCAGGAGAAATAAATAAAGGGTATTCAATTAGGAAAAGAGGAAGTCAAATTGTCCCTGTTTGCAGATGACATGATTGTATATCTAGATAACCCCATCGTCTCAGCCCAAAATCTCTTTACACTGATAAGCAACTTCAGCAAAGTCTCAGGATACAAAATCAATGTGCAAAAATCACAAGCATTCTTATACACTAATAACAGACAAACAGAGCCAAATCATGAGTGAACTCCCATTCACAATTGCTTCAAAGAGAATAAAATACCTAGGAATCCAACTTACAAGGGACGTGAAGGACCTATTCAAGGAGGACTACAAACCACTGTTCAATGAAATAAAAGAAGACACAAAGAAATGGAAGAACATTCCATGCTCATGGATAGGAAGAATCAATAACATGAAAATGGCCATACTGCCCAAGGTAATTTATAGATTCAATGCCATCCCCATCAAGCTACCAATGACTGTCTTCACAGAATTGGAAAAAACTACTTTAAAGTTCATATGGAACCAAAAAAGAGCCCACATTGCCAACTCAATCCTAAGCCAAAAGAACAAAGCTGGAGGCATCACACTACCTGACTTCAAACTATACTACAATGCTACAGTAACCAAAACAGCATGGTAGTGGTACCACAACAGAGATATAGACCAATGGAACAGAACAGAGCCCTCAGAAATAATACCACACATCTACAACCATCTGATCTTTGTCAAACCTGACAAAAACAAGCAATGGGGAAAGGATTCCCTATTTAATAAATGGTGCTGGGAAAACTGGCTAGCCATATGTGGAAAGCTGAAACTGGTTCCCTTCCTTACACCTTATACAAAAATTAATTCAAGATGGATTAAAGACTTAAATGTTAGACCTAAAACCATAAAAACCCTAGAAGAAAACCTAGGCAACACCATTCAGGACATAGGCATGGGCAAGGACTTCATGTTGAAACACTAAAAGCAATGGCAACAAAAGCTAAAATTGACAAATGGGATCTAATTAAACTAAAGAGCTTCTGCACAGCAAAAAAAAACCTACCATCAGAGTGAACAGGCAACCTACAGAATGGGAGAAAATTTTTGCTATCTACTCATCTGACAAAGGGCTAATATCCAGAATCTACAAAGAACTCAAAGAAATTTACAAGAAAAAAGCAACCCCAACAAGTGGGCGAAGGATATGAAGAGACACTTCTCAAAAGAAGACCTTTATGCAGCCAACAGACACGTGAAAAAATGCTCATCATCACTGGCCATCAGAGAAATGCAAATCAAAACCACAATGAGATACCATCTCACACCAGTTAGAATGGTGATCATTAAAAAGTCAGGAAACAGCAGGTGCTGGAGAAGATGTGGAGAAATAGGAACACTTTTACACTGTTGGTGGGATTGTAAACTAGTTCAACCATTGTGGAAGACAGTGTGGCGACTCCTCAAGGATCTAGAACTAGAAATACCATTTGACCCAGCCATCCCATTACGGGTATATACCCAAAGGATTACAAATCATGCTGCTATAAAGACACATGCCCATGTATGTTTATTTCGGCACTATTCACAATAGCAAAGACTTGGAACCAACCCAAATGTCCATCAATGATAGACTGGATTAAGAAAATGTGGCACATATACACCATGGAATACTATACAGCCATCAAAAAGAATGAGTTCATATCCTTTGTAGGGACATGGATGAAGCTGGATACCATTATTCTCAGCAAACTATCTCAAGGACAAAAAACCAAATACCGCATGTTCTCACTTATAGGTGGGAATTGAACAATGAGAACACTTGGACACAGGAAGGGGAACATCACACACTGGGGCCTGTTGTGGGGTTGGGGGAGGGGGGAGGGATAGCAGTAGGAGAGATACCTAATGTAAATGATGAGTTAATGGGTGCAGCACACCAACATGGCACATGTATACATATGTAACAAACCTGCACATTGTGCACATGTACCCTAGAACTTAAAATACAATTAAAATATCACTAGTAAAAAAGAAAAAAATATGGCATGAAAATACACGGAAGAAAAACCATGTGTAGGTACAAGATGGCCATATGCAAGCCAACGCTAGAGGCCCTCAGAAGAAACCAACCATGTTGTCACCTTTATCTTGGACTTGTAGCCTCCAGATCTACAGAGAAGATAATTTTTTGTTGCTTAATCCACCAAGTCTATAGTAATTTTTTATGGCAGCCTAACAAACTAATGGAGACTCATTAACTGTTTAAGTGTGTTTTCTTAATTTTCATATGTTTTTGACTTTTCTAGTTTTTTACAGTTTTGCTTCAGTCCATAGTGTTCAGAGAATGTACTTTGTATAGTTTCTGTCTTTAAACATATCTTGAAAGTTGTTTTATGGATAAACATATGGTCTATTCCAGAGAATGTTCCTTGTACACTGGAGAATAATGTTCATTTTGTGGTTGTTCTGTGGCGTGTTCTTTAAGTGTCTGTAAGGTCTACTTTGCTTACAAGGTTTTTCAAGCCTTCTATTGTCTTAATGCTCTTTGTTCTATTCATTAGTAAAAGTAGGGTTTGAAGTCTCCAATTATTATTGTAGAATTGTGTATTTTTTTCTTTAATTATGTCAAAGTGTGCCTCATACATATTGAAGCTCTTTTATTTGCTGCATATATATTTCTAATTGTTTTATCTTGATGAATCAGTAGCTTAAATATATCATCTCAGGGTCCTACAGCTTTCAGAGTTCCTGGTAAGACACTGGCTGTCAATTATATTGAAAGGTCCTTACACATGACAAGTTGCTTTTCTTGCTGCTTTCTAGGTTTTCTTTTTGTATTTGGCTTTGGAAAGTTTGGTTATAATGTGTCTCAGTGTAAGATCCTGCTTGTAGCTTGTTGAGCTTCTTTGATGTGTTGGTTCATGTCTTCCATCAAATTTGGAAACTTGTTAGCCTGTATTTCTTTAAGTATTTTTTTCAGCTCCTTTTTCTCTTCTTCAGGGAGTCCCATAATACATACACTGGTATGCTTGATGGTGTCCCATACATCTCGTGGGCTCTGTTCATTTTCCTTCATTCTTTTTTATTTTCACACTGGACAATTCCAGTTGTCCAGTCTATCTTCAATAGCAGATTCTTCCTTACATCTGCTAAAATCTCCAGGAATTTTTTTATCTATCGCACTTTTCAGCTCTATTATATCTATTTAAATCTCTCTTCATAATTTCTATTTAAATCCCTATCTGTTTGTTGATATTTTCTCTTTAATTCATGTTTCTGTTGATTTTCTTTAGTTTCTTTCTATGATTTTCTTCATATATTTGATCATATTTAAGGCAATTAACTGAAATTGTTTTTCTAATATGACCAATGTCTGGACATCCTCAGAGATGTTTCCTCTTGATTTCTTTTATTTTTGTGAATGAATGTTTCTCTCTCTGTTTTATAGTATTTTTGTTAGAATTTGAACATTTTGGATTTTGTAATGTGGTAACTCTGGAATTCAGATTCTCTCTTTCCTAGGGATTGTTGATACTGCCTGCTGAGGGCTGTAGTTATCATTTGTTCAGTTACTTGTCCAAACTGTTTTCATAAGGACTGTATTCATTGTCATATGTGGTCACGGAAATCTCTTCTATTGTGACTATAGTCAGCTAATGAAGTGACTTGACAGAAAATTCCTAAAATACCAGCCTCTATCTTAATCAGGCACTCCCCTGGACAATACCAGTGTTTGACTTTACTTCAGAGTTTCTCAGTAGTTGATTCTGACAGTCTTGCCACCAGAATAGATGTTTTGGGGAGGGAGTGATTATTGATGCTTCCTACCATGCCATCTTCTGTGATACCATTCTGCCAAAACACTTTTGTTATCAAAAAGTGATGGTCGTTTTAAAAAATAGTATATAACACACTTAGATTATTATTTTAGTTCTTTATGCTTACCTAAAATTTGGCCCTTGATAACAGTTTCCCAAGACCATCAACTGGTTTCATAAAGTCCCCTCCAAATGTATCAAGAGGTTATTTAGAGGAAATTTCTCTACCACCCAGGCATGTGATACATCGTTGAACCATTACTACCAACTTTACCATTTTTCTGTATAGGTTTGTAGAAAAACTTGTAGATGTCATCTGTGAATACTGAAAGTGATCTCCATGTTTTCTTGCTTTTAATTCTTCCATTTATGTCAACAGGAGAATAATAAATTACCAAAAAAAAAAAAGCCCTAATAAGAGTAGGAGTATTCAAGGAAGTAATTGGAAGCTATCTGGCCTAAATTAATATATAAATACCAAAATGAATGAAAGACTGGTAATTACATTGGAAGACTCCTTGGTAGGTGTAAAATTTAATGGCATTAATTTTAGAATGTATTTATCCATCTGCCTCTACCTTCCACCCCAGTCCCAACCCCCACCCCTGCCAACAGCCCTTGCTTAAGTATTTCTTTCTATAATAATGATAATTCCATTAAAAAGGAGAAAGAGAATATAGAATTTAATAAACACTGTATATCAAAGATTTAATTTATTTTCTCAATAACGTGAATTAAGGCTTATGAATGACTTATGTTAAATATCATGAATTATTTAATAACATTTAATAACTTTTAAAATAACATATACATTAAGGCCACATGAATTCTGTGAAAACATTTTATTTCTTTACCATATATACTGCAATATGTTTATGAATAATAATTCTAATATTAGTTAATAATAACTATGTATCAGGAACTATGTTAATTGCCTTTTATGGATTATCTCAAATAATAATCATAGTAAATCTATGAGGATGAGTACGCTTCACCACTAACTTTTCTCAATATGAATGTCATCCACTTAATAATGAAGTAGATATGCTGATATCAAAGTATCATCCTCCTTTTTCCATAGTACTAATATTTTAAACACCAGTGAAATTCACTCTTCTCTATATATTTTTATATTTTTATTTTATATACATTTTTCAAAAGCTCATAATCTGCCTAAAAATTCCCTGAAGTATTTTTCAAAGAGACCTAACAAATATCCATTCTAAAGAAAATTCTTTTAAATTTTGTTATACCAAACCTTATATTCCTTTTAAATTGTTGAGGGAAAACTCTAGCTGGAACAGGAAGATTGGTTTTAAAAAATATACACTATGCACACATCCAGTTTATGATACTGAACCACACTAAATACTTATTCAACTGGCAATTATGGGATTTGTGTCTGATAGTACTATAAAATAAAAACTGTTATACAATTTTAAGGTAATGTTCTTAATTTTGAATTGCTTTATATATGTGGGACTTTCAACAAAATCAAATCTACAGATACGTAGTTGGTAATTGATTATGCAACATACTTTTGGCTATTGCTGTAAAAATTTAAGCAATAGACACTTAGTGAGGAATCTAATCCTATATCATCTAAATTGTATGAGGAAGTGGATTTGACTTATATTTTTATTTATTTATTTAATTTCCATAGGTTATTGAGGAACAGGTTGTGTTTGGTTACATCAGTAAGTTCTTTAGTGGTGATTTTTGAGATTTTGGCGCACCCGTCACCCAAACACTATGCACTGCACCCTATTTGTAGTCTTTTTTTCCTCACCCCCTTCTGACCCTTTCCCCAAGTCCCCAAAGTCCACTGTGTCATTCTTATGTCATTGCATCTTCATAGCTTAGCTCCCACTTATGAGGGAGAACATAGGATGTTTGGTTTTCCATTCCTGAGTTACTTCACTTAGAATGAGTCTCCAATCTCATCCAGGTAGCTGTGCATGCCATTAACTCATTCCTTTTTATGGCTGAGTAGTATTCCATTGCATATATACATGAGAGGTGACAGCGTGCTGGCAGTCCTCACAGCTCTCGCTCGCTCTCGGCGCCTCCTCTGTCTGGGCTCCCACTTTGGCGGCACTTGAGGAGCCCTTCAGCCCGCTGCTGCACTGTGAGAGCCCCTTTTTGGGTTGGCCAGGGCTGGAGCTGGCTCCCTTAGCTTGCGGGGAGGTGTGGAGGGAGAGGCGCTGGCGGAAACCGGGGCTGCGCACAGTGCTTGTGGGCCAGCGTGAGTTCTGGGTGGGCCTGGGCTCGGCAGGCCCCACTCTTGGAAGGGCCTGCCAGCCCCGCTGGCCCCAGGTAGTGAGGGGTTTAGCACCTGGGCCAGCAGCTGCTGTGCTCAATTTCTCGCCGGGCCTTAGCTGCCTTTCCGCTAGGCAGGGCTTGGGACCTGCAGCCCGCCATGCCTGAGCCTCCCCACTGCTCCGTGGGCTCCTGTGCGGCCGGAGCCTCCCCGAGGAGCGCCACCCCCTGCTCCACTGTGCCCAGTCCCATCGACCACCCAAGGGCTGAGGAGTGCGGGCGCATGGCACGGGACTGACAGGCAGCTCCACCTGCCGCCCTGTGCAGGATCCACTGGGTGAAGCCAGCTGGGCTCCTGAGTCTGGAGGGGACTTGGAGAACCTTTATGTCTAGCTAAGGGATTGTAAGTACACCGATCGGCACTCTGTATCTAGCTCAAGATTTGTAAACACACCAATCAGCACCCTGTGTCTAGCTCAGGGTTTGTGAATGCACCAATCGACACTGTATCTAGCTAATCTAGTGGGGACATGGAGAACCTCTGTGTCTAGCTCAGGGATTGTAAACGCACCAATCAGCACCCTGTCAAAACAGACCACTCTGGCTCTCTGTAAAATGGACCAATCAGCAGGATGTGGGTGGGGCCAAATAAGAGACTAAAAGCAGGCTGCTGGAGCCAGCAGTGGCAACCCGCTAGGGTCCCCTTCCACAATGTCGAAGCTTTGTTCTTTTGCTGTTTGCAATAAATCTTGCTGCTACTCCCTCTTTGGGTCCACACTGCCTTTATGAGCTGTAACACTCACCCTGAAGGTCTGTAGCTTCACTCCTGAAGCCAGCGAGACCACAAACCCACCGGGAGGAACGAACAACTCCAGACGCACTGCCTTAAGAGCTGTAACACTCACCACGAAGGTCTGCAGCTTCACTCTTGAGCCAGTGAGACCACAACCCCACCAGGAGGAAGAAACTCTGAACACATCCAAACATCAGAAAGAACAAACTCCGGACACGCTGCCTTTAAGAACTGTAACACTCACCACAAGGGTCCGCGGCTTCATTCTTGAAGTCAGTGAGACCAAGAACCCACCAATTCCGGACACATATATACCATAGTTTCTTTATCCACTTGTTGATTGATGGGCATTTGGGTTGGTTCCACATTTTTGCAATTGCAAATTGTGCTGCTGTAAACATGCATATGCAAGTATCTTTTTCATATAATGACTTCTTTTCCTCTAAGTAGATACCCAGTAGTGGGATTGCTGGATCAAATGGTAGCTCTACTTTTAGTTCTTTAAGGAATCTCCACACTGCTTCCCATAGCAATTGTACTAGTGTACATTCCCACCAGCAGTGTAGAAGTGTTCCCTGTTCACCTCATCCATGCCACCATCTATTATTCTTTTGATTACAGCCATTGTTGCTGGAGTAAGGTGGTATTGTGTTGTGGTTTTGATTTGCATTTCCCTGATCATTAGTAATGTTGCGCATTTTTTCTTACATTTGTTGGCCATTTGTGTATCATCTTTTGAGAATTGTCTATTCATGTCCTTAGCCCACTTTTTGATGGGATTTTTTTTTCTTGTTGATTTGAGTTCATTGTAGATTCTAGATACTAGTCCTTTGTCAGATGTATAGATTGTGAAGGTTTTTTTCCCACTCTGTGGGTTGTCTGTTTACTCGGCTATTTCTTTTGCCGCGCAAAAGCTCTTTAGTTTAATTAAGTCTCAGCAGTTTATCTTTGTTTTTGTTGCATTTGCTTTTGGGTTCTTGGTCATGAAAACTTCGCCTAAGCCAGTGTCTAGAAGTTTTTCCAATGTTATATTCTAGAATTTTTATAGTTTCAGGTCTTATATTTAAGTGCTTAATCTATCTTGAGTTGATTTTTGTATGAGTTGAGAGATGAGAATCCAGTTTCATTCTCCTACATGTGGCTAGCCAATTATCCCAGCACCATTTGTTGAAAAGAGTGTCCTTTCCCCACTTTATATTTTTCTTTTCTTTGTTGAAGATCAGTTGGCTGTAAATGTTTGGGTTTATTTCTTGGTGGTCTGTTCTGTTTCACTGGTCTATGTGTCTATTTTTATACCAGTACCATGCTGTTTTGGTGACTATGGCTTTATAGTATAGTTTGAAATTAGGTAATGGTGATGCCTCCAGATTAGTTATTTTTGTTTAGTTTTGCTTTGGCTATGTGGGCTTTTCTTCAGTTCCATATGAATTTTAGAATTTTTTTTTCTAATTCTTGAAGAATGTTGGTGGTATTTTGATGGGAATTATGTTGAATTTGTAGATTGCTTTGGCAGTATGGTCATTTTCACAATATTGACTCTACCCATCCATGAGCATAGGATGTGTTTCCATTTGTTTGTGTCATCTGTGATTTCTTTCAGCAGTGTTTTGAAGTTTTCCTTGTAGAGGTCTTTCACCTCTTTGGTTAGGTATACTCCTAAGGTTGGTTGGTTGGTTTCTTTTTTTTTTTTTTTTTTTTTTTTTTTGGCAGCTATTGTAAAAGGTTGAGTTCTTGATTTGATTCTAAGCTTGGTCGCTGTCAGTGTGTAAGAAAAGATACTTGTTTGTGTGCATTAATTTTGTATCCAGAGACTTTGCTGAATTATTTTATCAGTTCTAGGAGCTTTCTGGAGGAGTCTTTAGGGTTTTCTAGGTAAACGATCATATTGTCAGCAAACAGCGACACTTTGACTTCCTCATTACCAATTTGGATGCGCTGTATTTCTTTCTCTTGTCTGCTCTGGCTAGGACTTCCAGTACTATGTTGAAGAGGAGTGGTGAGAGTGGGCATCCTTGTCTTGTTCCAGTTATCAGAGGGAATGGTTTCAACTTTTTCCCATTCAATATTATGTTGGCTCTGGGTTTGTCATGGATGGCTTTTATTATATTGAGCTATGTCCCTTGTATGCAGATTTTGCTGAAAGTCTTAATCATAAAGCAATAATGGATTTTGTCAAAATCTTTTTCTGAGTCTATTGAGATGATCATATGTTTTTTTGTTTTTAATTCTGTTTATGTGGTATATCACATTTATTGACTTGTGTGTGTTAAACCATTCTTGCATCCCTGGTATGAAACCTACTTGATCATGTTGGATTGTCTTTCTGATATGTTGTTGAATTTGGTTACCTAGTATTTTGTTAAGGATTTTAGCATCTGTGTTCATCAGGGATATCAGTCTGTAGTTTTCTTTTTTGGTTATGTCCTTTCCTGGTTTTGGTATTAGTGTGATACTGGCTTCATAGAATGATTTGGGGAGGGGTCCCTCTTTCTTTATCTTGTGGAATACTGTCAATAGGAGTGGTACCAATTCTTCTTTGAATGTCTGGTAGAATTCAACTGTGAATCCGTCTGGTCCTGGAGTTTTTTGTTGTTGTTGTTGATAATTTTTAAATTACCATTTCAATCTCTCTGCTTGTTATTGGTCTGTTCAGGGTATCTAATTCTTCCTGATTTAAGCTAGGAGGGTTGTATCTTTCCAGGAATTTATCCATCTCTTCTAGGTTTTCTAGTTTATGCATGTAAATGTGTTCATAGTAGCCTTGAGTGATCTTCTGTATTTCTGTGGTGTCAGTTGTAATATCTCCCATTTCATTTCTTATTGAGCTGTTTTGGATTTTCTCTCTTTTTCTTTCTTGGTTAATCTTGTTAATGGCCTATCAGTTTTATTTACCTGTTCAAAGAACCAGCTATTTCGTTTCATTTATCTGTTTTGTTGCTTTCAATTTCACTTAATTCTGCTCTAATCTTGGTTATTTCCTTTCTTCTGCTGTGTTTGGGTTTGGTTTGTTCTTGTTTCTCTAGTTCCTTGAGGTGTGACCTTAGATTATCTGTTTGTGCTGTTTCTTTCTTTTTTTTTTTTCTTTTTTTTTTTTTTTTTTCCGAGATGGAGTTTCGCTGTTGTTGCCCAGGCTGTAGTGCAATGGCATGATCTTGGCTCACTACAACCTCTGCCTCCCGGTTCAAGCGATTCTCCTGCCTCAGCCTCCCGAGTAGCTGGTATTACAGGTGCTTGCCATCATGCCTGGCTAAATTTTTGTATTTTTAGTAGAGATGAGGTTTCACCATGTTGGCCAGGCTGGTCTCAAACTCCTGTCCTCAGGTGATATACCTGCCTTGGCTTCCCAAAATGCTGACATTACAGGTGTGAGCCACCATGCCCGGCCCAAACTTTTCGATGTAGGCACTTAGGGCTATGAACTTTCCTCTTAGCACCACCTTTGCTGTGTCCCAGAGGTTTTGATAGGTTGCATCACTATTGTCATTCAGTTCGAAAAGTTTTTAAATTTCTATCCTGATTTCATTTTTGACCCAATGATCATTCAGGAACAGGCTATTTAATTTCTATGTATTTGCATGGTTTTGAAGGTTTCTTTTGGAGTTGATTTCCAGTTTTTTTCCACTGTAGTCTGTGAGAGTGCTTGATATAATTTCAATTTTTTAAAATTTATTGAGGCTCATTTTGTGTCCTATCGTAGGTCTATCTTGAAGAAAGTGCCATGTGGTCCATTTGTTCCAGGGCATAGTTTAAATCCATTGTTTCTTTGTTGACTTTCTGTCTTGATGACCTGTCTAGTGCTGTCAGTGGAGTATTGAAGTCCCCCACTATTATTATGTTGCTGCCTATTTCATTTCTTAGATCTATTAGTAATTGTTTTATAATCTTGGGAGCTCCAGTATTAGGTGCATATATGTTTAGAATTGTGACAGTTTTCTGTTGGACAAGGCCTTTTATCATTATATAATGTCCCTCTTTGTCTCTTTTAACTCCTGTTGCTTTAAAGCCTGTTTTGTCTGACATAAGAATAGCTACTCCTGCTCATTTTTGGTGTCCATTTGCCTGAAATGTCTTTTTCTACCCCCTTTACCTTAAGTTTGTGTGAGTCCTTATGCGTTAGGTAAGTCTCTTGAACGCAGCAGATGGCTGGTGAATTCTTACTCGTTCTGCAATTCTGTATCTTTTAAGTGGAGTGTTTAGGCTGTTTACATTCAACACTAGTATGAAATGTGAGGTACCATTCCATTCATCATGCTATTTGTTGCCTGTGTACCTTGGTTTTTTGTTTTTTAAGTTGTATTTTTGTTTTATATGTCCTGTGAGATTCATGCTTTAGAGAGATTCTATTTTGATGTGCAAAATAGAACAAGACCTACTGTCTGTAGGTCTCTCAGCCATGTATACCAGCACCTGTTCTGGTGGCAGAGGTAGAGGGGAGAAATGAACTCTGTGAGGATTCTTAGCTTTGGTGGTTTAATGCACTATTTTTGTGCTGGTTAGCCTCCCGCCAGGAGGTGGCATTTTCCAGAGAGCATCAGCTGTGGTAGTATGGGGAGGAACAACGTTGGGTGGGGCCCTTAAACTCCCAAGAGTCTTCAGTTACTAGGGTGGGTAGGGAAGGGCCACTGGGTGGGGGTAGAGCTAAGCATGTCTGAGCTCAGACTGTCCTTGGGCAGGTCTTGCTGCTGCTGCTGTGGGGGATGGGGGTGAGATTCCCAGGTCAATGGAGTTATGTTCCTAGTGAGAGGTAACAGCATGCTGGCAGCCCTCAGAGCCCTCGCTTGCTCTCAGCACCACCCCTGCCTGGGCTCCCACTTTGGTGGCATTTGAGGAGCCCTTCAGCCCCCTACTGCACTGTGGGAGCCCCTTTCTGGGCTGGCCAAGGCTGGAGCCCACTCCCTCAGCTTGCAGGGAGGTATGGAGGGAGAGGCGCGAGCGGGAACCGGGGCTGCGTGCGGCGCTTGCGGGCCAGCTGGAGTTCCGTGTGGGCGTGGGCTTGGTGGGCCCCGCACTTGGAGCAGCCAGCCAGCCCTGCTGGCCCCGGGCAATGAGGGACTTAGCACCCAGGCCAGTGGCTGCGGAGGGTGTATTGGGTCCCCCAGCAGTGCCGGCCCACTGGCGCTGTGCTCGATTTCTCGCCGGGCCTTAGCTGCCTTCCCGCAGGGCAGGGCTCGGGACCTGCAGCCCGCCATGCCTGAGCCTCCCACCCCCTCCATGGGCTCCTGTGTGGCCCGAGCCTCCCCGACGAGCACCACCCCCTGCTCCATGGCACCCAGTCCCATTGACCACCCAAGGGCTGAGGAATGCAAGCGCATGGCGCAGGACTGGCAGGCAGCTCCACCTGCAGCCCCTGTGCGGGATCCACTAGGTGAAGCCAGCTGGGCTCCTGAGTCTGGTGGGGATGTGGAGAGTCTTTATATGTAGCTCAGGGATTGTAAACACACCAATCAGCACCCTGTGTTTAGCTCAAGGTTTGTGAGTGCACCAATCGACACTCTGTACCTAGCTGCTCTGGTGAGGACGTGGAGAACCTTTATATCTAGCTCAGGGATTGTAAATATACCAATCGGCACTCTGTATCTAGCTCAAGGTTTGTAAACACACCAATCAGCACCCTGTGTTTAGCTCAAGGTTTGTGAGTGCACCAATCGACACTCTGTATCCAGCTGCTCTGGTGAGGACGTGGAGAACCTTTATGTCTAGCTCAAGGATTGTAAATACACCAATCGGCACTCTGTATCTAGCTCAAGGTTTGTAAACACACCAATCAGCACCCTGTGTTTAGCTCAAGGTTTGTGAATGCACCAATCGACACTCTGTATCTAGCTGCTCTGGTGGGGCCTTGGAGAACCTGTGTGTCGAAACTCTGTATCTAACTAATCTGATGGGGACTTGGAGAAGCTTTGTATCTAGCTCAGGGATTGTAAACGCACCAATCAGCGCCCTGACAAAACAGGCCTCTCGGCTCTACCAATCAGCAGGATGTGGGTGGGGCCAGATAAGAGAATAAAAGCAGGCTGCCCGAGCCAGCATTGGCAACCCGCTCGGGTCCCCTTCCACACTGTGGAAGCTTTGTTCTTTTGCTCTTGCTACTGCTCACTCTTTGGGTCCACGCTGCTTTTATGAGCTGTAACACTCACCGCGAAGATCTGCAGCTTCACTCCTGAGCCCAGCGAGAACACGAGCCCACTGGGAGGAACGAACAACTCCAGATGTGCCACCTTAAGAGCTGTAACACTCACCACGAGGGTCCGCGGCTTCATTCTTGAAGTCAGTGAGACCAAGAACCCACCAATTCCGGACACACTAGGAGGATCATGACTGTCTCCACTGTGTTATGCAGGTTGTCAGGGAAGTGGGGAAAAGCCAGCACTCACAGGCCTCACCCAGCTCCCACACAATCCGAAGGGCCAGTCTCACTCCTGCCGTGCCCCCTCGCCCACAGCACCCAGTCTGTTTCCAGGCAGTGGGGGAGCAGGGCTGAGAACTTGTCCTAGGCTCCCCGCCTCCCAGCTGCGAAAGTAAATACGGCTTTCCTCCTTCCCCTGACTGTGGATTCTGCACGCCAGATTCATGCCCTCCCCCAAGTTCTGTTCAGGAGGCTTCTCAATCAGTTCAAATTGTTACAAAATTCAACCGGAGGTTTCCTTCTCCCTGTGGACTTTTCCCAGTGCCTCTGGCCACCTTCTAGAAGGACCCCTGTGAGGCCAGGCAAAAACAGCTTGCTAGGGGACTCAGCAAGCCCGCAGGGATTTTCCCGCTGCTTCCTCTACCCCTGTGTTTGGCTTGGCTCTCTAAATTAACTCAGCTCGAGGTACAGTAAAAATCTTCTCCCATAATCTGGGCCTTCAGTTTTCCCCCTGGGGGTGTGTGTTCAGGAGAGGACAATCTCCCTTTCCCGCTTCCACAGTTTGGGTACTCACAGTATTTGGGGTATCTCCTGGGTCCTGCAGGAGCAATCTGCTTCCTTTAGGGGGTGTGTGGGTCGTCTCAGGTTTCCTGATTTATTCCTGTAGTCATTCTGGAGCAAAAATTCCTGATGCAAGCCTCCACACGCTGCTCTGTCTGTCCCAGTGAGAGCTGTAATCTCGTCCTGCCTCTCGTCCGCCATGATCTGCGGATGAGATCATTATTTTTATTTACAGCATTTTTCCATAAATGCAAATCATAATTAAGGTGAAACAATCCTTTTACTTTGGACACTTGCTGATGAAAACAAATTTTAGCAATAATTTTTTTGAATAGAAATACAAATAAGCCGTGAATCTGAAATTGGAAATCTCTTAATTAGATCCATAGTTAGAGAAAATTTTATAAAATTTTGGTTTTCAGTGTGTTAAAATAACTTATGGAATTGTAAAGAGTGCCTTTAAGGGAAATGGAAATAAAAGTTTGAAATACGTGATGTATGTCACTCCAACTCTTAAAAGGCCTCACAGCCTTTTTTTTCTTTTGTCCCACAACTTACAACAAAGATCTTTATGGATATTGATTTTTAAAGACATAGTTCAGAAATTCGAAGCAAACTTCCACATGATAAACCATATGTCAACTTAATCAATTTTTGGAATAATGAAAGTCTCTTGACGGCAGCTGCTTTACTTAGGAGAAAGCCTTTGGTGGTTCATTATCTATTCAAAGAAAGGTGAAACACTAGGGTCGTTATCCAGACCTCCAAAAGAGAAGTGACTATGAATAATGACTGTAATTAACATTCAGATTTATAAATGCCACTTTCCAATACTAACAACTACTTGTAAATGAAAATACTGAAATTTCTGAGAATGATCATACTAGTAACATATTTCTGTCATTACAAAAAAATTATGTAGATAGTGTAAAAAACCAATGACATAATTCAGTTAAAATTTATAGGAAGATTTATCTTTTTTCAGATGATCTTTAACTATAATTATTCCTGAAGCCCCCCAAAAAGTAAAAGGATTACTATTCTAGTTTAAAAATTCTTGTAACCATGTGTTGTCATCCTATGTATCTAAAATTGTGTACATTTAACTTACTAAGAAGTCATCAGTAATGATTTCTTTGAGTTTTATTGTAGAAAGTGGTTTTTTAAATCTAAATATTTTATACATAGTAAAAGCTTCTACGTTGTTAGTGTATGATTATATTGTATCATTTTTACAATATGCAAATTATATTGCTGTCAGCCTGAGGCTTGTGAAAAAGGAGGTTTGTGAGGATGTTCTGTAAGGAGTGTTCCTTCCTTACTTTGCTCACCCCAAAACCATTGTTACTGTTTTTTAAATCAAACTCTTTCTGAAAATAATTGATTAATCTCTCCATAAGGAATGAAACTATATTCCTTTTAGTTAGAAACCACATAAAGTTGAAACTCCTTATTCTCTTCCGAACACAGGTTTTCTAGAAGCACACTTTCCATTTGCAGACTATAGAACAATGGATATTGTCTCGGAATGTTGTCGTGAGGGTAAACACATACACAGGGAAGCTTGGTTCCTAAAGACCTACATTGCAAAACACACTGCACCAATTTCTCTGATTTTCTTTCCAAAACTCTCTTTAGAGAGTTTGGGTTCTCTCCAATTCCACCTTTTTAATACTAAAGCAGTGGTTCTCAAACTTTAGCTACAGTAGAATCACCTGGAGAGTGTGTTAAAGCATAGATTTTAGGCTCCATCATCAGTATTTGGTTCTGTAGGCCTAGAGTGGACCCCAAATTTGCATTTCTAACAAATTCCAATGACACTGATGTTGCTATTTCAGGCACTATGCTAACCTAACACATGAGTCTGATCATTCAACTCAAATATCTTTATGGATCAGTCAAGAGAAGTTAATTCAAAAAGCCTTGGAAAATAAAATCAATAGGCAGTGGTGAGAATTAGATAAATAGAATGTGCTGGACTAATTTAAAGGCTTTCTGTCTCACATCTTTTAAGACAGTGTAATGAGGAAATGAAACATGTCCAAATTCAGCCTTTTCATTATACTTGAGGTACCTATCTTAAGCAATATTGTGTAAGCTTTTCTTCTATCTCTAGTTTGAATTTATATTGAGTTAGTCTAACAGCCAACAACTTATCTTCCTTAGGAAGTGATGTAGGGATGCAAAATGTGAGTAACTTTACTTTCGCTACTGTCAGATAAGATTAGCTAATTGAGGCATCAGCAAATGTAATGTGGTCCCAATATAGATCCTGTTCCTTTTCATTGAAAACTGGTAAAAACTGGATTTCTGGATAATAGAATTGTCAATGAAATTTCAACAGCAGTAGTGACAGAAAGTTTGCTGTTCTCCTATTGAAGTAACAGAGTAGCCTAGTAGCACATAGTATGTAAAAAAGGAGAAAGTACAATAAAGAACATAACATCAATGAAATAAAATTATCTGCAAATGAAACCTCTGTTTTGTCTAGAAGAAATCTTGAGACTAAAAATATAGGTTCTTTTATAGATATCAAGTTGGGTATTTATTCCTAACTTATAATGTTTTCAAAGTGGTAGATCATATAATGGTCTTCCAGACAGAAGTGAATAGTGGGCTAACATTCTTGAAGAGATGGAATCTTTGGAGACTCTATTATTGGAAATTGGAGAAAGAACTGTGCCAAGACATGAAAGAAGATTTCTAAGGGTCTCATTGAACTTGTAGATGATACTGATGTGTAGATAAGCACTAAAAAGTTAAAAAATACAGTAGCAAGAAAACTATCTGAAAGTTAGAGAACTTAGGTTCTTGCAAAATACCGACTCTTCATTTATTAGCTTTCTGACATAGTACTTTTTGCTTAACCTGTCCGTGATTCCATTTATTTACTTCTAAAGTGAGCATAATTCCACTGGGTTGTTGTAAAAATCACTTATCAAAATGATCACAGGTCAGGTGACAGTGGCTTATACCTGTAATCCCAGCACTTCGGGAGACCAAGGCTTATGGATCACATAAGGCCAGTTGTTCAAGACCACCTGGACAACATGTTCAAACCCTGTCTGTACTAAAAGAAAAAGAAAAAAATCAGTAAAAGAAAAAATCAGAAAAAGAAAAAAAGTAGTGCCAGCTACTCGGGAGGCTGAGGCAGGAGAATCACTTGAACCCAGGAGGCAGAGGTTGCAGTGAAACGAGATCGTGCCACTGCACTCCAGCCTGGGCAACAGAGCAAGACTGTCTCAAAAATAAATAAATAAATTAATTAATTAATTAATATCGACCACAGCTCTCAAACATTTTATAAATTATAGAATTATATGAGTCCAAGATTGTGTGATTTGCATTATTTGTGTGACTATAGCTTAAATGTATTCATTTATTTTAACTTATTCTTAAGCCAGTTGAATATATATAATGCAGTAGAGAAGTAGATCTACCATGTAATGTATATACATGAGTTTTTGCCCCTGGACAATATATAATATTCTATACTTTAGTCACCCATTCCAGATCTTGCAAGTGCAATGTTGATTCTGGTTTTTTGCACTTTAATTAATATTATACTTAACAGTGATTTTTTTTTCTCTATTATGTTGTTTGAGGACAGGCAAGATAATACCCATAGGGAAAAGAATAAAGGACCCTGATTGTTGACATTGATTTTTTAAAGTGATTCTATGCACGTGAATTAAATGATATCAGTACAATAACTACAGTGGAAATTGTGAAATTGAATAGTGCCCTTGGATATAACCCAAATGCAAACTTCATTTTGTTACAGTAGTTAGCTTTACAGGAAAGAATGTAGCAGACCGAGAATAAAAAAAATTGCTTTTTAAACTGGGTACTGCATTTATTTTTATTCTACTTTTTGTATTAATTCTCTGTTTGACTATTCCTTTATTTAGAAATGATTAAATGTAGTTTATGAGAAAAGTCTATTAAGCTTATCATGATATAATAACATCTGTTGCTATTTTGTTGTATAGGAATAGTTAGCAAGTACATTATCATTCTCAGCATTTTATGATAATAAGTTTGGGCTAACTGCAATTTATGCTGTGTAACATCACCTGGACTAAACCCTCTTGTTTTAATTCAAAACATCTTGATTCCCTGGGGAGTTATTTGCAGCAGTTTTTCAAAGACATCTTCCATCTCCTTAAGTTCTCAATCTCGTTTCTTTCAATTTTCTCTCTTGCAATAAAACCGTCCCTCCTTTTATTCTTATGGGAGGATCAAAGGAGTGAAGAGAAGGCTGAACCTTTTTACTGTCTCTATACTCATTCTTATACTTTTTGTTTTCATTTTCAAAACCTTTATTTCTATTATCCAAAATTACTTTATCACTTCTGATCTAGAATTAATTTTTATCTTCTTCCCTTGTAACTAACTCCTCTATTTTCTCTTATTCTCCTCTAACATTTTCATTGTTTTTTTCCCCCCTATGGTTCTTTTCTTACGGCTTTGAAATGTACAGGTACCAGAATAGGTCTTGGGAGAGGGATGGGATAGAACAAGTGAGTTTGAAGTTGCAGGTAGGGGCAACAGTGGTTGGGCTCAGGTTCAATGATCCTTGCTCTCAAGAGAGGCAAAAAGCACTATGCCAGAGTCTCCGTGGTGGTCTAAAGGGTGCCTGAGTTTTGTACTTGTTAGAGAAATTAAGTTTACTATAACCAAAAAGGTTTAATGTTTAGAAGTTAAAAGCAAGTGAAGAATGTCTCATTCTGAAATAGACCAAACTCAAAAGCCTAAGAATGCAGGGTGGGAATGAGCAGAAGTTAGGATTCCAAACAGGTCAGTAATTGAAAAAAAAAATGGTGGAAATAATACTAAAAATTTAAGACACATACATCTCTGTGGCCAGAGAGAATTGTGTCAGGGAGACAGGCCCTGAGAGGCAAGCAACAAGGAAGGAATCTAGGAACTGAGCTAGGTCACTGGTGATGAAATGCCAGATGGTGGCTATCAAGGATTCAGTACTGACCAAGCAGCATTGCCCAACACAAACCAAAAGCAGCTGATCAGCGAGGATGTGAAGCCTTACCAAGGTCATAATGCATAGAAAATCTGAAATCAGAAAGCAAATGATGAAGAAATAATACTCATACAGTGTTTGATATATTAATCCATCATTCATTCAACAAATACTCATTGTCCACTTTGTGGCAGGATTTGGGCTGGGTCCTGGGACCAGAACAGTTAGCAAGAGCAGGTTTTCCAGCATAAGTTTATAAGTGCATAAACTAGGAGGGTAAGCACATAAATAAATAACTTCACAGCAGTAGGAAAAATGCTATTAGAAGACTCAACATGCTAAGGTAGCATCTATAACTGATGTCTGTCTACGAGCTTCTACATAGATTCCATTCTATTGTTTACTGTTGAGGTATAGTGGATACACATCAATTAATTAAATGTAACTTCTCTGGCCTCATTATGGTTGGCTGTATATGGTGAACTCCATGTCTTGTAGGTTTTACTCCTGTTCTCAGGTAATGGGCTCTCAAAAAATGTAATGCAAGGCTTTGATATGACCATTTACTTTCTTTTTTTTTTTTTCTTTTTTAGACAGAGTCTCTCTCTGTCCCCCAGGCTGGAGTGCAGTGGCAGGATCTTGGCTCACTGCAAGCTCCACCTCCTGGGTTCACATCATTCTCCTGCCTCAGCCTCCCAAGTAGCTGGGACTATAGGCGCCTGCCACCACGCCCGGCTAATTTTTTGTATTTTTAGTAGAGATGGGGTTTCATCATGTTGGCCTGGATGGTCTCGATCTCCTGACCTTGTGATCCGCCTGCCTCGGCATCCCAAAGTGCTGGGATTACAGGTGTGAGCCACTGCACTCCACCCTCATTTACTTTCAACTTTTATTGTTTCTTGGAACCTCATTTGGGGGAACTAATAAATAGGGATATCATTTTATGGTAATTCTAGTTATTGCTTATTGTGAAGATAATGAGCCCCTATGAATACATTATTTGAGTGGCTAGTGGAATTATTTCAAATGCTTTCTCAAATATGTAAGTTAAATATTTCACCTTGTAATTTTTCAAGCTCATTAACAATATTCATTTGAAATATGTTCTTCAAAAAATTATAAGTTTGTATGTAACTTTGTACAAATGGAAAATTTGTTTCTCTCCTCTTAAATTTTGGCATATTTTACCCACTGATATTATGTTGAAATAAAATTGATTCCAAGATATGGCTTATGATTTCAAAAATCCATTTCCCATAGCTTAGATCTTTGTTAAACCATTTAGTGCCCCCTAAAAGTGATGTGAAGTGTATACAGCCCTAACCATTAGAGTAAATAGATGAGATCGGGTGCGTTCAGGGTGGTATTGCCATAGACCCATTAAAGTAAATAGAAAAAACTTTTTATTTTCAAAGTTGTTTAAGAATAATTATGCTAATTGATGTAATTATCAGAATAACAGTATAATTCATTGCTCATCTCAACTATTCATACTAAGAATGTCCTATTGTCATCAGAAACAGTCATCAAATCTGAGTTAAGATAAACACTACACCAACACACATCACCGTCCCTTCAAAATATAGAAGATGAATTCAAGTCTGAAAATGTGTTCAAAAGAGAGTTGAGAATCGTTAAAGTTAACCCATCATATATATCCATGTAATCTATTATTTAATTTATTTTTAAAAGGTATGTAAATATATATAGACTCTGAGGAAAAAGTCTCAAATACCTAACCTGGCATTAAAACATTTCAGTCAACAAAACTGTGTGTTATAGTATACACTGAAAAACAAAATATCTGTACCCCAGCCTCTACCCTTTTTTTTAAATTGGATCAACTGGTTTTTTAAAAAATCTTTCCTTCACACAGAGTTATTATGGAAATTTCACGGACTGTAAAACTAGATTACCAAAATTTTTAAACTAACTGAATTTCAACTTGAAGAACATCATGAAAAAAAATTCCAAAGCAAATCTATCATATTAAATGTATGTCCACAATTTTTCTGAGGCTGTTTTCATTTAATATATTACTTTTTCTTTTCTTTAACAACTAGTTACTAAGCACCTATTGTGTTCAAGACCCTGTGACATTTTAATTATGTTTGGTAGAAAATCTAAAAATCTCTAAGTTTGATCCCAAGCCTTTAGACTACAAAGTCCACGATTTCTTCCCCTGCCATATACATATATTGCTTTGCCTATACAGAGTGGCTGGAGTAATGAGATTCAGCGAAGGATTCAGGGGAATAGCTTTTAGGGTGGCCAGAGGTAACTAGGATAGTAGATTGCCCAAGAAAGGCAAAGTAAAGAAGAATTCTTTAAAAGGAGGGTACTGTCAGTTATTTCAAATGAAGCAGAGAGATGGGAAAGTACGTGGACTGAGAAGAGCAAACGAGCTGGACTTATCCATTAAGTCCAGCTGTGACTTTTAAGAGATTGTTTCAATTGAGTAGTGAGATTGGGAAGTAGATTGTAAGATGCTATAGAGTAAATGAACAGTAAGAAATTAAATGAAGGGTGAATAGACCAATGTTTTTGTGTGTGCAAAAGTGGAAGTCCATTTTTTTTAAAATGAAATCTTGTGTGAATTCCTGAAACAGATAAGAAGTTAGATTTTTAATCCCTCCTTTCCTTACTTGGGTATCCTGGAGATCTCAGACTCAATGCCTCTGCAATATAATTTGCAAATTAAAGGTGGACCTTCTTTTGAGATGTTTAACAGGCTAAGAAAGGAAAGAAATAGTAAAAAGAGGAGCACTGGGGATGCACAGTAACTGCTCAACTGGAAAAGTAAGGAGAGCTTGAGGGATCTTTTGTGACACGGAATTGTCTCAAGAGAAGGCTTCCCATTGGAGGCAGCTTAATGTAGACTCTTACCCTAGCCAGATGTGTCCTTTTTACTGCTCTTAAAGCTAATCCCACCCAGACTCTATTCTCAATTCTTGATCTAAGCTTGAAAGCATGCAGTGAATGGTGGCCCCAGAGGGCCTTACCTAACTTACTCTCAAAACTTTCTGTCCCTGTCACTACCCCCACCTTCAACCTATGTCATAGTTACCTTGGAGCTTGATTGTTCAGAGTTCCTGGAACTCTTTCATTAGCATTTAGTTCATCAGTTACTGTGCATCTCCTGTGCTCCTCATTCTATTTCCTTTCTTATCCTGTTAAACATCTCAAAAGAAGGGTCCACCTTTAGTTGGCAAATTACGTTGCATAGGCACTGAGTCTAAGACCTCCAGGCTACCCAGGTGAGGAAAGGAGGGATTAAAAATCCCACTTCTTGTCTGTTTCAGGATTTTACATAAGATTTCATTAGCGTCTTTAATTAATTTAGAGAAGCATAACATAATACTTCTTTTTTTCTTCTGGACAAAGATTTTATGGTAGAGAGCAAGAGCCAGAGCCAATGAAAGATTCACAGGATATTGGAAACGTCTGCTACTTAACTACATTTTGAAATTTAACTTTCATTGTGCCTCATTTTGAAATGTAACTTTTCAAAGGAAGTTGAAATTTTGCACATTTGCTCAGCCATTAGATTATTCCTGTTGATATGAAAAGGAAAATATACATTTTTGAAATATATTTTTCAGTTTAAGAAATTTGTGGAGTTTGAGACCAGCTTGACCATGGTGAAACCCCATCTCTACTAAAATATAAAAATTAGCTGGGCATGGTAGCAGGCGTCTGTAATCCCAGCTACTCGGGAGGCTGAGGCAGGAGATTCGCTTGAACTCGGGAGGCAGAGGTTGCAGTGAGCCGAGATCGTGCCATGGCACTCCAGCCTGGGCAATAGTTGGAGACTCTGTCTCAAAAACAAAAAGAAAAGAAAGAAAGAAATTTGTTCTCCTGTAAAAATAAGTATTTTTTCAAGGTTATTCTCATATACTTATATTAGCAATATATTTTTTCTTTACATTCCTAAAGTTGGCTATTCTTATCTGAAATTAGGCATTTTTGGCCTTGGCCAAAGGAATTTCCTCCCCCTAGGGCTCAAACTTGTGTAAAACAAAAGTCATAAAGAATGAAAGCTACTTCTCTCTCATCTGCCCTGCAACAAACCTCTCCTGAAAAATGAATGAGGTAGGTGCTGGGATAAAGGAAGAGAAAAAGAGAAAACAAAGGAAGGAAACACATACAGAAAATCTAAAATAATATCCTCAAATTATATTCATATTACAGATGTGACTATAAGGCAGTAAGTGGTTAAATTACTTGCCCCCTTTTCTCACTATCTAGGCATAAATACTTCCAGCTTTTGTTATGTCCATGTTTAATACACCTAAGTGTATGCCTTAACTATGGGTGGGGCTACATTTTTTATTGTCAGATGGAGAGTGACAGCTGAGGATTTATTTTAACGATTAAGTCTCTTATTGAATTAAACATGCTCATATAGATCATTTTCAAGGTAATCATTATGTGTTCCAAGAAGTGTAGTATGGTGGCTAAAAGTATGGTTTGTGGGATCAGAAAAAATAACTTTGTTCAATGCCGTGATTTTCTATTACTACTTTTGTAACCTCCGGCAAAACGATATGATGTTTCAAACCATATTTTCCTTATCTGTACAGTGAAAATAATAAAACCCAACTCATAGGGTTTGTCAGAGTTAAAAATTAATTTAGGGAATGTGCTTGCACTGTGCCGCCTGGCAGCCAAAATATTCAACAAATACTACTCTTATTATAATCAAGAAAGAGGAGGTAAGGCCATACTTAGAAGTGACATTTTGTTTTTGTTTTTATATATATGAACGATACATCTCAAATGCACTGCATCAGTTCTTCAACATCTACGAGTTTATATTCATTAAACACGTTTCTGCAGAACTCAAAATACATAAGAATGACCTTGTTCTTAAGAATGCATTCCAGTTGGAGAAACGAAATGTATGTCTATAATAACTAACTAGTAATTCTTGCACAATGTATGCAAAATGGTACAGAGCATTTCTACAAATGGAGATTGAAGAGCCTTGTTTAAAGAGCTCAATAAGGTTTTTTGACAGGGCATGGCCGTTTCATATTCAGTTATCTTTTCCAGTTCCTTGTGTAGATAGTGTATTCAATTCCATAAAGATTTGTGAAAAAGAGAGACTCGATAGGAGCTTCTGATATTGACTTTGGGTAGGGTTCTTAAGTTTCTCTTTAATAATCCTTCCATATCCTCTTCTGGGTTTCTTCTTTCTTAGCACAAAGCAAGTTATGGTTCAATTGACTTTCTGTCTGCTTAATAAATATTGATATATTGGATACATTCAAGCATGGCCATGTGTGATCCATCTTTAAAGGTACAGTCATTATGCAGGGAGGTTGCAATTTATTTATTCCTCATTCATTCTCTCATCTTTTGAGAGGAGTCATTATGTAAATATTGAGCACATTCATAAAATGAAAAACAAAAACAACACTAGCACTTTTTTAAAAAATAAAAGCTGTTGAAAATAAGATAGCATCTGCAGCAGAATGAAGTGAATATAGACCCTATTGTGCACATTGTGTTAGTATATTTTCTTTAGACAATAGGAAATGGTAATTGAAGGTAAAATGTGCAATTTCTGATTGTAAGAGCTGTGGTATACCGCAATGATTGAGGAAGCAAAATACACATAGTTCCTTCACTAGGGATCTGGCACAGGATTAATAACTCAGTCCTGAAATATGTATAATTATATGATTTCTCAAGGCTTGTTTCACACATCTGACTAGAGGTAGACATGACTACATATATAGATGTAATTAAACATATTAAACATATGGATTATTGTGTTATTATAAGACTAGCGAAATTTGAATGTGTTTACTCATACACAAAATTATTGAACCTAGTATGTCTGTCACTATTGATTCAGACCACTGGTTTGATTGAGTTTGTTCATTTTGCTTATTGGTTGACTAATAATTAAGAAATATAAACATCATTTAAAATATTTAATGACATTTTTATTTTTTCTACTTTATTGAAGTATAATTGAAAAATTTGCCTATTTTAAATACATAAAACATGATTTTTAATTTGTGCATACATTGTAAAATGATTACCACAATCAAGCTAATGAATATATCCATTATCTCACATGTTTATCTTTAAAAATTTTTTATGGTGAGAGCACTTAAAATCTATTATCTGAGCAATTTGCAAGTGCACAATAGAATATTATTACTTATATTCATCATGCTGTACAACAGATCTCCAGAGTGTATTTAACCTATTTAGCTAAAACTTGGTGTCTTTTGTGCAACAATTCCACATTCTCTCCCTGCAACCTACTACTTTTTATCCCCTGGCAGTCTTCTTCTCTCTCCTTTCATGAGTCTGACTTTTTTTAGAATCCACAGGTAAGAAAGATCATGCATTATTTGCCTGTCTGAATCTGGTTTATTTTGCTTACCATGATGTCCTCCACTTTAATCCATCCTGTCACTAGTGATAGGATTCCCTTCTTTTTTAAGGCTGAATAATATTCCATTGTATGTGTATGTATGTTTATGTATATATGTATTTATATCACATTTTCTTTATTCATTCATTTGTTGATGGACACAGGTTGATTCCTTATCTTGGCTATTGTGAATATATTTTTAACACCCCTCTAAATAACAATCTATCACATCTTCATCTTTTATCTATGTATTTTTAATTTTCACACATATGTTTGAGGCTAATTTTCTCCTGTTATATTCTAATAGAAAATATTCTTGAAAGCAAAATTGCTGAATGCTTTTGTATTGACTCTTTCATCATATTACTCAATTCTCTGTTTATTTCTTTATATCCACCAATACTGCAACATAGACATCTACTTTTGCCAAAAGTTAAGTCTACAGTAACAGCTGTACCTTTCTGGAAAACAGAAATGTGGTTTAATTGTTGCATTGCATTTCATTTCATGCTGGCTGAATTTGATGGCCTCCATAAAACTATTTGTACACACTCCCGTGAAAGTAGACCAGAAGGAAACTCAAACCTATACTTTATCTGCAGACTAGCCATATCATAGAAAGGGATAGGCCTTCCCAATTGTTTAATAAAGTTTTTATTTTCTCTCATTTTCTATTTTAAAACTTTTAAGATCCTATTTTCAGTCCTCCCTACTGCCTTTTTCTAGGCATCTAAATAGGTATACAAAGCATTGTAAAAACTGTTTAACTTACACTCGGTAAACAAATAGTAACCAGATTATAGGGTAAAAATATTGAATGGCTATCTGCTCATCCATAAACATAGCACTGATAATAAAAATGTTTTTGAAAGAGACATCTAACTGAGTAAATACTCAACTCTGGATGGTTATTCAAGTTGAATGTATCATATCATTATTCCACGAATATTTTCTATGTCAATGGCAGCTAATTTTCAGCCTTCAAATGTTAAAGTAGTCTGAAATTGAAAATAGAGAGAAAAAATAAAATTGAAAGATTCACACAGGAAAGAGCCACTTTATATCTTTTATGGAAAAACAAGAAAAACAAAAAGTTATAAATTCATAAATCTATTGAACATATACGGGAGTCCATGGAAAATATTAATTGAGGTAATGTTAAATTATAAAATGTCCATATAGCAATTAAAAATGTGAAAGAAGGTCATTATTCAAACTATTTTTCAAGCAGCTAGCATGTGCAGGAACTCTCCTGGCCACTGAGAAAAGAGCAGTGAAGATGGCTCCTGCCCTTTAGGGCCATTTCAGAAGGTGAATTGGGCTCATCTTCTGCTAGAGGAATTAGGTATTTAACAACTACATACATTATTTATTCAATTACTCGTACATTTTATAAAAGGGAAACCATAGGAGGAGAATTTGATTTGGTCTCAATGCTACTTGTATTAGTCAGTTCTTACTCTGCTAATAAAGACATACCCAAGACTGGGTAATTTATAAAGGAAAGAAGTTTAATTGACTCACAGTGAAGCATGGCTGGGGAGGCCTCACAATCATAGCAGGAGGTAAAGAACAAACAAAGTCACGTCTTACATGGCAGCAGCCAAGAGAGTGTGTGCAGGGTAACTTCCCTTTATAAAACCATCAGATCTCATGAGACTTATTCACTATCACAAGAACAGCATGGGAAAAACCCACCCCTATGATTCAGTTACCTCCCACTGGGTCCATCCCATGACATGTGGGAATTATGGGAGCTATTCAAGATGAGATTTGGGTGGGGACACAGCCAAACCATATCACTAGCAAATTGTTCTTTGGGAGAATAACCTTTGGCTGATGTCTGTAGAATGAAAATGGCGTAAGGTGAGCAAAGGGTGAGGCAATTCAGGCTGAATAAAAGCATGTGTGAAGACCCTCGAAAGAGAAGGAGCAGAGAATTACCTGGAATTTAGAGGTAGCAAAGCTGAGAGAACAAGGAGAGAACGGAATAAGTCAGATGTTATAGGAACAACAAATCTTGCTATTTTGACCACTTAAAGGGTTTTGATCTTTATTTAAAGGATTTTAACCATGACAATGAGGAGATAAGATTTACTTTCTTAAGAGGTTACATGGGCCTTGGTGAGGCTAAGTTAGGTTTAAAATATTTCGAGATTTTAAAGAATATGGATTTCAAAGCCTTTCTTCAACTCCTCTTTCTAGAACATCTCCAGTTTCTTTTCACTTTTCTCTTTCCAAAAGATTCAAGATGTGTGTGCTAATGGACTATATGATACATGATATAGTCCATACTGTTGAGTGGGGGGAAAAAAAACAAGTTATAAGAGAGTGTATCAAAATAATTTGTGCAAAACTAAGGTTCTATGTGTGTTACATAATATTCTGAAAAGATAAACTCATAACAGTGGTTATGTCAAAAAATAATGAAAGGAGGTTGATTATATGAGAAAGGCATTTATTTTCATTTCATACACATTTGGACTATTTTATATTTTGCCTTCAACATATATTATTTTCATAATTTAAGTGACTGCTTAATATTTTACACTGGATATTGATTAATAGTTGAATGAAATCCATCAAGTCTTCCTCTCCTCTAAAATTTCTTTCAAAATTCATCATAAAATTGTCATTTGTTGACATATTAAAGTGGCATGGACATAGTGATCTTCATGTTAAATTAGAAAAAAAGAATTGTCTGTGAGTGTAATTTTATCTTCATTTTTTATTAACAAGTAACATTTCTGTTTAATGACTTCAATCTCTTGAATTACATTTTTGAAATTTTTTTCCAGTTCTTGATTATAATGTCTAATACATAAGCGATTTCTGAAATGTCATCCGTGGTATAGGAATTAACTAGTTATTGTAATACAAATGGGTAATAAATTTCAATACCACTAATTAATTTCAAAATGCCTTTTTTGAGGAAATGGGCTGCCTATAATACTTCTGGAAGGCTTATTAATGTGTAATTCACATATTAATGTGGAGTTAATGATGGGGATCACCTACTTAATGATGTGGACCACCTACTTGTTCATATAAAGAGTGAGTTTTCTAAATAACAAAAGTCTGTCACCTCTCTCTCTCCATGAAATGATAATTCCAAATGTTTTATGGCCAAAGAAAGTAGAACAAGAAAGCCAACATGAATAGGAGAGAGAGAAAATTACAACAAAGCAGCTCATATACATGAGCACTTTTCTAGCCAGCAGAGGTGACTGAAGTAGAACCTCATGCCAGTTCTCCACTTTCCAAGAAATAACACACCAATATTGATTCCTGGGAACCATGCTGAGAAGAGTAATAGACTTTTAAAAATCTCCATCTATCCAGTATCATTTATACCTAAAAGCCACATAGTGTCTGAATTTTACCCAAGGACAGGGACCCTTGTATACTTCAGACATTTACAAGTAATTTGTGACAAAGCAACATAGCAGAAATGAGAGAAATAATTACTAAAACAAAATGATGTATCCAAAATCTACTGTTTCCAGAAGTTGAGGTTCTTTTTTGCTGATTGTGCCAGAAGTTGTTTCCCTTGCATCAG